>NC_000010.11:12131212-12282727 GCF_000001405.40 Homo sapiens
AGAGGCTTTTTTAAAAAAGATAATATAGTCAACTTTAGGCAACTACAGAAACGTAATCACTCACGTCAGCTTTAAGACAATTTTGGGATGTTGGTATATAGAATCCAGTGTCTGTAGGGGAAGAAAAGCCGCAGAGCCTAACTAATACCTAGCTGCGGCTTGTCTTTCTCCACATTGCAGACCCTTTGGCAAAGGACAGAAGCTTGAGAGATTGTCATTTTCACCCTCCAGTTCTCTGGCAGGACTTGACTTAAGCCGTGCCAGAAGACAGTGTCTATCCTTAAAGAACCTTGATTTATCTTACCTTTATATGTTATAAGAGTAGTCTGGGAAAACAATACTTTCTGATGAAATGTAATTGTTAATTCTCTGGGTTGATTATTTTACACAAGCAAGTACTTTTCTATTACCTGGGAGAGTAACTAGGCAATGAAATGTGGTCTGATGAAATCAAACAGAGATTACATACCTTTTTTTTTTTTTTTTTTTTTTTTTTTTGAGACGGTCTCTCTCTGCTGCCCAGGCTGGAGTGCAATGGCTCCATCCGGGCTTACTGCAAGCTCCCCCTCCTGGGGTCACGCCATTCTCCTGCCTCAGCCTCCTGGGGAGGGGGGACTACAGGGGCCCGCCACCACGCCCTGCTAATTTTTTTTTTTGTATTTTTAGTAGAGACGGGGGTTCACCATGTTGGCCAGGCTGGCCTTGAGCTCCTGACCTCAAGTGATCCGCCTTTCTCGGCCTCCCAAAGTGCTGGGATTACAGGCGTGAGCCAACAAGCCCGGCCTACATACTTTAAAAAGGTAACTACAGGGGCTGGGTACTGCTCACGCCTGTAATCCCAGCACTTTGGGAGGCCGAGACGGGCGGATCACGAGGTCAGGAGTTCGAGACTAGCCTGACCAACATGGTGAAACCCCGGCTCTACGAAAAATATAAAAATTAGCCAGGCATGGTACCGTGCGCCTGTAATCCCAGCTATATACGAGGCTGAGGCAGGAGAATCACTTGAACCCGGGGGGCGGAGGTTGCAGTGAGCCGAGATGGCGGCACTGCACTCCAGCCTGGACCACAGAGGGAGAATCCGTCTCAAAAAACAAAAACAAACCAGTTAACTATAGGGGCCAGGTGCCATGGTTCATGCCTGTAATCCCAGCACTTTGGAAGGCTGAGATGGGAGGATCGCTTGACGTTAGGAGTTTGAGACAAGCTTGGCCACCATGGTGAAATCCCATCTCTAGTAAAAATAAAAAAATTAGCTGGGCTTGGTGGCACTCGCCTGTAATCCTAGCTACTCGGGAGGCTGAGGCAGGAGAATCACTTGAACCTGGGAGGTGGAGGTTGCACTGAGCCGAGATCGTGCCGCTGAACTGCAGCCTGGGCAACACAGCGAGACTCTGTCTCAAAAAAAAAAAAAAAAAGTTAACTATAGGAGGTGATTCCATGATTTTTTTGTCACCTATGCATTTCGGCATCTTTCAGTTGTTTAAGGCAGTTCTCTACAGAAGAGCCCATTTGCCGTTGTGCTTCCTGAGTGCAGAAGGCACCCTCCTGTCTTCCTCCTCTGATACCTGCTTTCTTCTGTCATGCATTGTCTCACGGGTACCACGGTAGAGTACATTTGCTCCCTTTTGACGTCGTGATGCCCTTTGAACAGCCCCCTTTTTGTATATGTAAAATGATTGGATACAAGTGTGAGGAAGAAAGTATGATGCCCTTTGAACAGCCCCCTTTTTGTATATGTAAAATGATTGGATACAAGTGTGAGGAAGAAAGTTCTGGAAAAAGGTTGCTTGGATTGCTTCACTTCTACTGACCAGCCATCAAACCATTTGGACTTCTTTGTCCCTGGAATGATATCTCTTCCTTTACATATCATTTGAAATGGAGAACAGTATGATGATTTAATTTGGGGCTTAAGGGTGGGGTGAATTGCTGGTGAAAGAGAATCTTTGTATTTGATTTTCTAGAAAGACAGATCTTTTTTTAACTTCATAATAATAGGAACATTTATTATTTTTCTTTTTACAGTCAAATTTTTAGAAGTTATCAAACCATTCTGTGCAGTTCTACCAGAAATTCAGAAACCGGAAAGGAAAGTAAGTATAATATTTTAGTAATATAGAGGGTAGCTCAAGGGCTTGTTCTATGAAACCAGCAAAATTCATTTCCTTACCTCAGTCCTTCTCTGTTGGTAATTGGAAAACTATTGGTGTTCATCCTCCTTGCAAGAGGCACAAAGTGAATAAAAATAATATAAATCTGTTTAAATCTAGATAGGTTAACTCATGCTTTCAAAAATGACTGTTCTTTAAGTTGTGACATTTCCAAATTAAGTGTTTCTTCGGCCTATGTGTTAGTTAAGACAGGTTATTCTCCTGTCTGTAGTGATCCTTTATAAATCCTGTAGTATTGGGTGTGTATTGTGTTTGCTAATGATGTCACCTACTGGACTAGAAATAACCCAGTCTGCTCGATAGGTTTTGATGAGTACAGCTGTTTTATGTAAATGAATTGCATTTGCACAAATATATACCTCCCATTTCTTGATTCATTCGTTGGAAAGAAAAATGACAGGAATGCATTCAGAAGATATTGTGACTGGGTCAAATCGTTCTTCCATCATTGCAAACTTTCAGAGTTCAGGTATTTAAATTCTGGAAATATTGTTAATCCTAGATTGGCCAATTTCTAGAAATTCTTCATCAAACTACAAATTTCTCATCAAACTAACAGGAATAGGGACATAGAGATAGGTAAAAGAATTTTAAACTTACTATTTGATTTAGAAGTATTTATTTATTTATTTATTTTTGAGACGGAGTCTCGCTCTGTCCCCCAGGCTGGAGTGCAGTGGCGCCATCAAGGCTCACTGCAAGCTCCGCCTCCCGGGTTCACGCCATTCTCCTGCCTCAGCCTCCCGAGTAGCTGGGACTACAGGCGCCCACCACCATGCCCGGCTAATTTTTTTGTATTTTTAGTAGAGACGGGGTTTCACCGTGTTAGCCAGGATGGTCTCGATCTCCTGACCTTGTGATCTGCCCGCCTCAGCCTCCCAAAGTGCTGGGATTACAGGCGTGAGCCACCGCGCCCGGCTAGAAGTATTTTATTGCTTTGAGATTGTAAAAATAGTTGTTCCATTAACATTTAAGGCATCCTGAGAAACCCTGGCTTTGCAGTCTATAAAATATTCATATGGCACTGTCACCAGCAGGCCCACCTTCGCACAGTGCAGTGTTCACCGAATCGCGTGCACATTGGATCCCTGTTTTGCTTTGGCTCCTTTTCAGTTTCATTTAACACCGTACAATGCAGATGAGAACTGCCTGTATTTAAGTTACCTTTTTTATGAAAAGTAAAGAAACTTATATTTAGGAAGTTCAGCTGTTTGTTGTAGCTGCTACTGAGGTGAAAGGGACATTAGAAAACAATCTAGGCCCGGCACAGTGACTCACACCTGTAATCCCAGCACTTTGGGAGGCTGAGGCAGGTGCTCAAGAGATGGGGACCATCCTTGCCAACATGGTGAAGCCCCGACTCTACTAAAAATACAAAAAAATTAGCTGGGCGTGGTGGCGTGCGCCTGTAGTCCCAGCTTCTCGGGAGGCTGAGGCAGGAGAATCGCTTGAACCTGGGGTGGTAGAGGTTGCAGTGAGCCGAGACTGCGCCACTGCGCTGCAGCCTGGGCAACAGGGTGAGACTCTGTCTCAAAAAAAAAAAAAAGAAAAAAAGTCTACCTAGGATAGTACTTCAAAAAGGGGCATTTAAGAGTGAATAATAGGATGTCACGATGGGGAACTTTAGTTACGTTTTTGTGTGGATTTGTGCTTTAAATTTGCTGTTTCGAAAACCAAACACCACATGTTCTCACTCGTAAATGGGAGCTGAATAGTGAGAACACGTGGATACAGGGAGGGGGAACATCACACAGGGGCCTGTGGGGGTAGGGGGAAAGGGGAGGGAGAGCATTAGGACAAATACTAATGCATGCGGGGCTTAAAACCTAGACGACAAGTTGATAGGTGCAGCAAACCACCATGGCATATGTCTGCCTATGTAACAAACCGGCACGTTCAGCACATGTATCCTAGAACTTAAAGTAAAATTTAAAACAATAATAATAAAATAAAAATATTTAAGGTAAAAATTTTGAAGTAAAAGAGAAACTGAAAAATCTAGATTTGAAAATTCTTTCCTCAGTAAAAGTAGATTTAAAAAAATATAAGCTTAATTTTTTAGAACATATTTCTCTTTTTAAATTTGTATAAATATAAGTAGCACAAATGCAGTTTTGTTACATGAATGTATTATGTAGTGGTGAAGTCTGGGCTTTGAGTGTATCCATCACCCAGATAACGTTCATTGTACCCATTAAGTAATTTCTCATCATCCATCTTTTCCTGCCACCCCTGTACCCTTCGGAGACTCCACTTCTGTCATTCCATATTCTATGTCCATGTGTACACATTGTTTAGCTCCTACTTTTAAGTGAGAGCCCACAGTGTTTGACTTTCCACTTCTGAGTTGTTTCACTTAAGATAACCTCCTCCAGTTCGTTCCATCCAGGTTGCTGCAAGGGACATGGTTTCATTCTTTTCATGGCTCAGAAGTATTTCATTATTTATATACAGCATATCTTCTTTATCCAGTCATCAAGAAGCATCTGTGCATGTGTGTCTGTATATATGTGTGCGTGTGTGTATATGTATGAGAGAGAAAAAAATGTTTGTAAAACTTTGTACCTAATAAACAAAAATGCTTCCTTTATAACACATAACGGACATTCCCAATTTCTGTGAATTAGGCCCCAAAGAATAACCTCAAAACTCTGCTGCCCCCCAAAAATTTGCTGTTTCTTGGTTTTGATTGATGATTCTTTACATTTTGTTGTACAGATCCAGTTTAGAGAGAAGGTTCTGTGGACTGCTATAACGCTCTTCATTTTCTTAGTGTGTTGTCAGGTATGTAACTATACTATTAAATAAATGTCTGCACCATTGTTCTAAGGTTTTGATTGGTTAGAATTTGAGAATTTTTTTTGTTAAAATAAAGAATACATTGAGCTCAATATATTGAGCATTATTATCCTTTTTATTTTTTATTATTAATTTTTTTTTGAGATGGAGTCTCACTCTGTTGCCCAAGCTGGATGCAGGGGCATGATCTCGGCTCACCGCAACCTCTGCCTCCTGGGTTCAAGTGATTCTTCTTCCTTGGCCTCCCAAGTAGCTGGGACTACAGGTTCCTACTACCATGCCCAGCTAAAGTCTCGCTCTGTTGCCCAAGCTGGATGCAGGGGCATGATCTCAGCTCACTGCAACCTCTGCCTCCTGGGTTCAAGTGACTCTTCTTCCTTGGGCTCCCAAGTAGCTGTGGGACTACGGGTGCCTACCACCATGCCCAGCTAATTTTTGTATTTTTGTTTTATTTTATTTTTTGAGATGGAGTTTCACATTGTTGCCCAGGCTGGAGTGCAGTGGTATGATCTCGACTCACTGCAACCTCTGCCTCCCCAGTTCAAGTGATTCTCCTGCCTCAGCCTCCCGAGTAGCTGGGATTACAGGTGCATGCCACCAAGCTCAGCTAATTTTTGTATTTTTAGTAGAGATGGGGTTTCACTATATTGACCAGGCTAGTCTCGAACTCCTGACCTCAAGCTATCCACCTTCTTCAGCCTCCCAAAGTGTTGGTATTATAGGCGTGAGCCACCACGCCCAGCTGAATTTTTGTATTTTTAGTAGAGATGGGGTTTTGCTGTGTTGTTCAGGCTTATCTCGAACTCCTGACCTCAGGTGATCTACCTGCCTCAGCCTCCCAAATTGCTGGGATTACAGGCGTGAGCCACCACACCCTTTTTTATCTGGCAATTTTTTGTTTTTAAATAGAGACGGGGTCTATGTTGCCCAGGCTGGTCTCCAGCTCCTAGGCTCAGGTGATGCTCCTGCCTCAGCCTCCCTAGTAGGTAGGACTGCAGGTGTGCCCCACCATGTCTGGCTAATTTTTCAATTCTTTTGCAGGGAAAGGGTCAAGCTAAAACCAAATTTTTGCAATCTTGGGTTGTACTGTGTTTAAAAATTACTAAAATTTGATGATAGTGTTTTTTTGGTTTTTGTTTTTTGGTTTTTTTTTGAGACAGGGTCTCACTCTGTCACCCAGGCTGCAGTGATCACTTCAGCCTTGACTTCCCCAAGCCCGGGTGATCTTCCCACCTCAGCCTTCTGACTAGCTGGGACTACAGGCACGAGCCACTACACCCAGTTAATTTCTTTTGGTATTGTAGAGATGAGGTTTTGCCATGTTGCCCAGGCTGGTCTCGAATTCCTGGGCTCAAGCCATCCATCTACCTGTATCTCCCACAGGGCTGGGATTACATGCCTGAGCCACCACACCCAGCCCAATGATACTTTCAAATAAAATGTTGCAGACATATTAAGTTCACAGTGTGAGTATAAAATGTGGCCTGCCTATGTTTTAGGGTTATTGTAAAGATTAAATAAGATAATTTAGGTCAAGGTGGCTGGGCATGGTGGCTCATGCCTGTAATCCCAGCACTTTGGCAGGCCAAAGTGGGAGGATTACTTGACGTCAGGAGTTGAGACCAGTCTGGTCAACATGGTGAAACTCCGTCTCTACTAAAAATACAAAAATTAGCCAGGCATGGTGGCGTGCACATGTAATCCCAGCTACTCGGGAGGCTGAGGCAGGAGAACCACTTGAACCCAGGTGGTGGAGGTTGCAGTGAGCTGAGATCACGCCATTGCACTCAAACCTGGGCAACAGAGCGAGATGCTGTCTCAAAATAAATAAATACATAGATACATACATACATACATACCAGATAATTTAGGTCAAGGTTTTTTGGGGAGTTCGAAAATCTATTGAAATACTTGTAAGAACTTTTAAAAAATTATATTAGGAAGCAGTAGAACAGATTAGGTACATAATCTGGAGAAAACCTAACTATATTTTCTTTCTGAAGGATGAAATGATCTGATAATTAAAGTACTTTTACTACTGTACTTGTTTTAAATTTGTTTTAAATGGTCAGGGAGAGAAGTTTAAAGAAACAAAGAAAAATACAAAGAAAAAAAAGAATAGTCATCCATATTTCTACCATTGACTTTCAGCATCTTAGAAACTCCTCTCCCCACCATTAAAAAAAAAGTCAACCTTGTGGAGGTATAATATATATACAGTAAAGTACACCTGTTTTTAGGCATACATTTTGAAGAGTTTTGACAAATTTGTACACCCACATGACTACAACCTCTGTGGATATAGAACACTTCTGTCATCCCCGAAGTTCACTGTAACCTTTCTCAGTGAATCTCCACAGGCCCAGGCTACCACTCATCTGCATCCTGTGACTGTACTTTGATTTGTTTTTTCTAGAGCTTCATGTAAATGGAATCATACAGTAGTATATTCTTTAGTGTCTAACTTCATAATCTTTTTGAGATTAATTCATATGGTCGTTACGTCAGTAACTCATTCCTTTTTATTTCTGAATACTGTTCTGATGTTGAAGTTATCACAGTTTATTCATTCATTCGCTTGTTAGACATTTGGGTTGTATCCAGATTTTGGCTACAACACATCAATTTGCTATGAACATTCATGTATAAGTCTTTCTGTGGATATTTTTCATGGGTGAGTCCTTAGAAGTACAGCTGTTGGGTTTTATAGTAAATGTATGCTCAACTTATAAGAAATTGTCAGCTCTTTTCCAAGTGGTTGCCCCATTTTGTTTGTTTGTTTGTTTGTTTGTTTGAGACGTAGTCTCGCTCTGTTGCCCAGGCTGGAGTGCAGTGGCACGATTTCGGCTCACCGCAAGCTCCGCCTCCCGGGTTCAAGCGATTCTCCTATCTCAGCCTCCTGAGTAGCTGGGATTTCAGGCACGTGCTACCATGCCCAGCCAATTTTTGTATTTTTCGTAGAGCTGGGGTTTTACCATGTTGGACAGGCTGTTCTTGAACTCCTGACCTCAGGTGATCTGCCTGCCTCAGCCTCCCAAAGTGCTGGGATTACAGGCGTGAGCCACCACGCCCGGCCCTCGGTTGCCCCATTTTGTATTTCCACCAGCCGTGTTCTGGAGTTCCAGTTGATCTGCATCCTGGTCTACTTTTAGTATTTTTGATTATTTTAATAGTAGTCATCTTGCCAGGCGCAGTGGCTCACGCCTGTAATCCCAGCACTTTGGGAGGCTGAGGCGGGTGAATCACCTGAGGTTGGGAGTTTGAGACCAGCCTGACCAACATGGAGAAACCCCGTCTCTACTAAAAGTACAAAATTGAGCTGGGCGCGGTAGCTCACACCTATAATCCCAGCACTTTGGGAGGCCAACGCAGGCGGATCACGAGGTCAGGAGATCGAGACCATCCTGGCTAACACAGTGAAACCCCATCTCTACTAAAAATAGAAAAAATTAGGCGGGCGTGGTGGCGGGCGCCTGTAGTCCCAGCTGCTCGGGAGGCTGAGGCAGGAGAATGGCATGAACCCAGGATGCAGAGCTTGCAGTGAGCTGAGATCGAGCCACTGCACTCCAGTCTGGGCGACAGAGCGAGACTCCGTCTCAAAAAATAATAAATAAAAATAAATAAAAATACAAAATTGGCTGGGCGTGGTGGCAAATACCTGTAGTCCCAGCTACTTGGGAGGCTGAGGCAGGAGAATGGCGTGAACCCGGGAGGCGGAGCTTGCAGTGAGCCGAGATCCCGCCACTGCACTCCAGCCTGGGCGACAGAGCGAGACTCCATCTCAAAAAAAAAAAAAAAAAAGAATTCATGAACCTGACAGCACTCAACATGGGTAGAGGGGCCGAGAGCTGCTCCAGGGGTGTGGGCAGTGAGCTTTTGTAGCAGAAGTAAAGAATTGCAGAAGTAAAGAAATTACTTGATTGGCTACAGCTAGGCGTTTGCCTCATTTGATTATGTTCCAGTGAGAGGTTTCTGTGTAGCCAATAGGCTGGTTGACTGTCTGTAATTGGCTGAAACTCATTCAGAATTAAATATCCTCTAAGGTCATTTTCAGTTTTCTTTTGTGAGACTTCAGGGTACAGAAACAACCACAGGCTAATGGCCACCTGCTTAGAGTGCCTTAACAAGTTGAAACTGATTATTATATTAAATATAGTGCAAAGTTTGGAACTCTGCAACTGTGACAGATTCATAGAAAATAAGCTCCTATTGTTGCCCACCTGTTGTTGTACATGATCCTCTAGCTATGGAATTTACTAAGTGAAATAAAATTAGAAACCAATTTTAATAATCCTACTGGTTGCAGGAAAGGAGGGTATACCATTAATTATGGGAGGTTGGCTTGCTGTTTCCCACAGAGCGCCTAACCATGGCGGATTAAGGAAGGTCGTTGGGCGGAGTGGCCGCTCTCCACTTGTGGAATATTTTGAGATGGAGTCTCACTCTGTCACCCAGGCTGGAGTGCAGTGGCATGATCTCAGCTCACTGCAACCTCCGCCTCCCGGATTCAAGCGATTCTCCTCCCTCAGCCCCCGGAGTAGCTGGGACTACAGGCACGTGCCACCACGCCCAGCTAATTTTTTTGTGTGTATTTTTAGTAGAGATGGGGTTTCACTGTGTTAATCAGGATGATCTCGATTTCCTGACCTCATGATCCACCCATCTCGACCTCCCAAAGTGCTGGGATTACAGGTGTGAGCCACCACTCCCAGCTGTTTTTGTTTTGTTTTTTGAGATGGAGTCTTGTTTTGTCGCCCAGGCTGGAGTTCAGTGGCACGATGTCTGCTCACTGCAACCTCTGCCTCCCAGGTTCAAGCGATTCTCCTACCTCCGCCTCCTGAGTAGCTGGGATTACAGGCACGAGCCGCCACTCCCTGCTAATTTTTGTATTTTTAGTAGAGATGGGGTTTCACCATGTCGGCCAGGCTGGTCTTGAACTCCTAGCCTCAAGTGATGTGCCCACGTTGGACTCCCAAGATACTGGTGTTACAGGCCTGAGCCATCGTGCCTGGCCCTCACCTCTCACTTTAAATGAAGAGTGTCTACAGCTGCCAGGTGCACATAAAATATCCATGTTTCATGCTTTACCAGTTTTATTACCCAGCTGATAAATTCAGACTTTCAGGGAGGTTTAGGTTGACCAGGTGAGTTGTTTAAAATTGCTGCCAGCATCTTTTGTAACTTTCTTAAAAATCAGTTTCATATAGAGAAGGTTTTTGAAATGTCTTTGTCTAATCCCCACATGGTTAAGGAGGGGTTAAGGCCAAGTGCTGTATCCTAAATATGGGTTATATAATAGGAAG
Source organism: Homo sapiens (assembly GCF_000001405.40). Classification (NCBI taxonomy): domain Eukaryota; kingdom Metazoa; phylum Chordata; class Mammalia; order Primates; family Hominidae; genus Homo; species Homo sapiens. The sequence continues at coordinate 12,141,489 of NC_000010.11, forward strand.
CAATCTGAACTTAAGTTGTTTTTTGTTGTTGTTTTAATGAAAAGTTAATGTCCTCATTATGGAAAATTTGATACATATGAAAAGAATACAGAAGAAAAAGTCAACCATAATCCCACCATCTACAGATAATTGCTGTTTAGGATTTAAAAAGATATCTCCTCCTAGTTTGATTTTCTGTGCATCTATTTACAGTGTCATAGTTTATATATACACTTTCGTACTTCGTTTTTATACTAGGGCTTCTTAACAGTCGCACTCCTGAATTTGAGGTAGGATGATTCCTTGCCCCAGGGGTCTGTCCTGTGTATTTCAGGATGTTCAGCAGCACTCTGGCCTCTACTAGCCATCACCCCCTGTTCTGTGAAAGGGCCATATATGCAAAATGACCCGCAAACACTGAAGGAGCTGCGAAACCAATGAATGAGGGAGACAAATCCAGTTTGTCAGTAGAGGGTGATTTTACAGACAGAAGCATAGTTTGGGGCAGCAGTAAGACAGGGAAAGGCCTGCATTCTTACTCCCAGACCCAGGGCTAATCTATCATAGGGAAGGGGTGTATGTGCTTTGTGCAGGACAGTTGAAGGCAGCTTTCCAGAACATGCAAGAATGCTGTGTGTCACAGCCTGTTATTTGTGTAATAGCATCAACGTTGCTTGGATCTCAGGGCAGGATTTATGGCGAGTACATGTTCTTACACTAAGGACTGTAAATAAAGCAGGAATCAGGAGGTATCCCTGAGACCAGGGTTGAGCAGAAGTCAACATGGTAGATTAGCATCCAAGATGGAGTCACTTTGGTCTCCACCTTGGCCCCTAGTTGTGGCAACCAAAAATGTCTCTAGATATTGCCAAATGTCTTGGGTGGGGGCTAAAATCACCCCTAGTTTAGAACTGCTATTTTATATTTAGTTTTATGACATAAGTACTTCTTCCATGTTATTACAGATTGAGTAAGCATAATTTTTAGTGGCCATGTAATATTCCATTGTGGATATCATCTTCAGTCTTACATTGAGAAGAGTGACCTTGGCTGTCTTTAGTATATAGAGCTTTGCAAAATCATTCTACGACCAGGCAGGTATAATATTCCATAATCTACTGGTGGGAGTGTTTTTTAAATTGTGGTAAAAGTATAGAAAATATGCCATCTTCATCATTTTTAGATGTGCAGTTTAGTAACATTAGGAATGTTCACATTGTTGTACCACCACACTCCATAAGCGATGTATTTACTAGTGAATGCACCAAGTGATGATTTGTTGTTTTTATTTTTATTTTCACTTTCTGGTTCTTTTAATTATTTTTTTTATTAACCCTTATCTATGTGATGGAATGTTTTTCTTTTTATTTTCTTTTTAATAAACAGCTTTACCTTGAAGATATGCTTGTTTTTGTTGAAGAACATAAGAATAGTTTTTAAAAAAGTATTGCAAGCAGTAAGTGAATACCTTGTAAATTAAGTGCACACTTTATACTTTTTTTTTTTGAGACAGAGTCTCCTGTCACCCAGGCTGGAGTGCAGTGGCGTGATCTCAGCTCACTGCAGCCTTTGCCTCCTGGGTTCAAGCGATTCTTATGCCTCAGCCTTATATAATACAGTTTCATAAACTATTTTGTGTACTATTTTAGATCCCACTGTTTGGAATCATGTCATCAGATTCTGCAGATCCTTTCTACTGGATGAGAGTTATTCTGGCTTCCAATAGAGGTATGCGTGTCTTTTCTGTCTCCACACTCCTACTCACAGCAAACAGATGGAAACATGTGGATTAGCAATGAGTTTTCAATGTCTACAGGGAGGGGGAGGATATCATTGCCTAGAAAAGCCTAGTATGTAGATAATGACAACACCGTGTGATTAATGTAATCATAGAGAAATCTGTTCTTGGGTTTTCATGGACTGGAAAACCCTGATCTTCAGTGTCAAAGAAGGTGATGTCCAGATAACATTGGAATTGGAGTCCAGGTGGGGCGCCGTGGCTCACCCCTGTAATCCCAGCACTTTGGGAGGCCAAGGTGGGCAGATCACCTGAGGTCAGGAGTTTGAGACCAGCCTGGCCAACATGGTGAAACCCCGTCTCTACTAAAAATAGAAAAATTAGCCAGGTGTGGGTATGCACCTGTAATCCCAGCTACTCAGGAGGCTGAGGTAAGAGAATCGCTTGAACCTGGGAGATGGAGGTTGCAGTGAACTAAGATCGCACCACTGCAATCCAGCCTGGGTAACAGAGTAAGACTCTGCCTCCAAAAAAAAAGGGAGTCCAGTGTGTGAGCCAATCGGGGAGCTCAGCTGGAGCTGAGCCTGAAGCCTCAAGCAGCATTGTTCATCTGGGAAATTGTGGCTGAGGATGCTGGACAGTGAGAGTAGCAAGGGGTACAACCAGTCGTGAGGTTTCTTACATTTAGGAACAGTGGTTGCCTCTTTTTTGGAAACACTTTTTTCAGGCGATCCTCCCACTTCAGCCTCCTGAGTAGCTGGGACTACTGGTGCGTGCCACAATGCCTGGCTAATTTTTGTAGTTTTGTAGAGGTGAGGTTTTGCCATGTTGCCTAGGCTGGTCTTGAACTCCTGGGTTCATGCCATCCTCCCTCAAAGTGCTGGGATTACAGGTGTGAGCCACTGCACCCAGCCTGGACATACTTTAAATCGATGGCAGATTTTTTTTTGATGTTTTTAGGTTATAAAGGTAATATTGATTTATTATTTTAAAAATGCACTAGCAATTTATATACAGATTTATATGAAGCTGAAAAGAAAAGTGTCACTTCTGAGGGGAGCTCTGGAGGATTTGGTAGATTGGTGACTATCAATTGAGGCCTTTTCTTTGCACATACATTCACTTACATATATCTATATACTTCTTATAACTGAAAAGTAAGATGTCCTGTATATACTATTCTGCTACTTTGTTTACTTAATATCTTACATGAGCTATTAATGGCCATGTTATTATTCCATTATAAGGATACGCTGTGATTTATTTGATCATTCATTCAACAAATACTTACTGAGTTCATATTGTGTGTCAGCCTTTGTGCAAGGTGCCGAGATTAGAGCAGTGAACAAGACAATGTCCCAGTTGTCATGGAGTTGATATTTGCTGTTTGGGGAGGTACCTGGGGTGGGGAAGGTGCTCTAGGAAGGTGATCTTTGAAGACAGCTGCAGGAAGTGAGAGAGGAGGCCACATGAAGACCTGAGGGAGGCATATTCTAGGGAAGAGCCAGTGCAAAGGCCCTGAGGTGAGCCTGTGCTTGGTGTGTTCAAAGATCATTGAGGAGGGGCCAGGCGCAGGGGCTCATGCCTGTGATCCCAACACTTTGGGAGGCTGAAGCGGGAAGATCACTTGAGGTCAGGAGTCCAGACCAGCCTAGGCAACAAAGTGAGACCCCATCTCTACTAAAATCACAAAAATTAGCCAGGTGTGGTCGTGTGTACTGTGGTCCCAGCTACTTGGGAGGCTGAGGTGGGAGGATGGCTTGAGCCTGGGAGGAAGAGATTGCAGTGAGCCGAGATCACGCCACTGCACTCTAGCCGGGGCGACACAACCAGACCCTGTCTCAAAAAAAAAAGGAACATTGAGGAGGTGAGTGTGGGGTGGAAGAAATGAAAGAAGAGGGAGGAGTGATGGGACCTGATGTTGCAGATGTATCTAAGTCAGATCATGAAGGGCTTGGAGACCGTTGGATGGAGCACATTTTAAGGAAGATGGGAAACTTCTGCAGGCCACTAGGTTCCTTTCTTGTCATATATTACGTTTTTTTCCCCCCGATTTTATATCATTATAAAGAATGCTACAATGAAGGCTATCACACCGTTCTGTAACTTTTTGATAGAATGAATTTCTAGAAGTTCAACTGTTGGGTCACAAGATAGGCATACTGAAATTTTTGATAGAGAAAGCTAAATTATCTTCCAAAACAGTTGTTTGATTTTACACTCTCAGCGACAGTATATGAGAATGACCATTTCTCTTTCAACAGTGGATATTATTAGTATTTTAGTCTTTGTTAGTCAGAGAGGTAAAAGCTGGCATCAGTTATTTAATTTTGATTTCTTTATAGATTGGTGAGTTTGAACATTGTTTTCTGTTTTTATGGAACATTTGTATTTCTTCTATAAGTGGAGTTTTATTAGTGTGTTAGATTCCTTTTGTTGTAAGTAATAGGAAACTAGATGCTTTCGTAGTCCGTAGATGTGATGATTGGATCTTCACGCTCGTGTGTGAGATGTGCCTCTCTCCAGCCTTGTTAGGATGTTGGAACATTACCCATCTGACATGAAAAGAAAAAAGAAAAAACATTGTTTTAAATAAAGGAGAAAAATTAAGGAATAGGAAATCACTGACTAGCTTAAACAGAAACATGATACTTGCTGGAAGGATACTGGTTATTTTTTGGAATCTACAGTGGAGATGAACAGCTAAGCCCCAGGAAGAAGGGGAGCAAGGCCAGCCCTTAGGCCTCAGCAGCAGGGATTGGTGAACATTTTCCATTCTCTGTGCGATTCAGCTCCACACTCCCAGATTTATTTTATTTTATTTTATTTTTTTAAACCAAATTTCGCTCTTGTTGCCCAGGCTGGAGTGCAATGGTGCGATCTTGGCTCACTGCAACCTCCACTTCTCAGGTTCAAGCGATTTTCCTGCCTCAGCCTCCTGAATAGCTGGGATTACAGGCACAAGCCACCATGCGCCACTAATTTTTTTATTTTTAGTAGAGATGGGGTTTCACCATATTGGCCAGGCTGGTGAATTCCTGACCTCAGGTGATCCACCCACCTTGGCCTCCCAAAGTGCTGGGATTACAGGTTTGAGTCACTGTGCCTGGCCCCAGATTATTTGTTTAAAATTCCAGATGCCCAGGGTTCTCACCAGGCAGGATCAGCTTCAGTTAGAGTTCCAGGGTTGCACAGTACAGGTTTGGATGCTGGGGGCCTACTCCTGTGCTGCATTTTCCTGAGAAAGCTTCAGCAGGAGCAGACACATCATGTATCTGCTGTTTCCTTTTTAAATTGTTTTTTTCCTTTTTTTTTTGTTTTATTTTTTTTGAGACGGAGTCTCGCTCTGTCACCCAGGCTGGAGTGCAGTGGCGCGATGTCAGCTCACTGCAAGCTCCGCCTCCCGGGTTCACACCATTCTCCTGCCTCAGCCTCCTGAGTAGCTGGGACTACAGGTGCCCGCCACCACGCCCTGCTAATTTTTTGTATTTTTTAGTACAGGTGGGGTTTCACCATGTTAGCCAGGATGGTCTTGATCTCCTGACCTTGTGATCCGCCCGCCTCAGCCTCCCAAAGTGCTGGGATTACAGGTGTGAGCCACCGCGCCCAGCCAGTTTGTTCACTTTTTAATTGATTTGTAAGAGCTCTTTGCACATGAGAGATAAGAACTTTTTGTCATTTGTGTTTAATTTTTTTTTATTCTTTTGGGACAGGCTCTTGCTCTGTTGCCCAGGCTGGAGTGCAGTGGTGCAAACAGCTCACTGCAGCCTTGACCTCTTGGGCCAAGTGATACTCCTGCCTTAGCCTCCCATGTAGCTGGGACCACAACCGGGCACCACCATGTCTGACTAGTATTTTAATTTTTTGTAGAGACAGCATCTCACTTTGTTGCCTAGGCTGCTCTCAAACTCCTGGCCTCAAGTGATCTGCCTGCCTCAGCTTCCTAAAGTGTTGGGATGACAGGCGTGAGCCACCATGTCTGCCTTAATAGTTTTATTTTAACCATTATGCTGCCTTTTGCCACGTGGAAGTTTTGTAGTTGTATCTAATCATATCTTCCATCTTTTCCTTTGTGGCTTCTAGATTTTTTGCCATGCTTAGAAAGACTTTCTTGCCCAAGATGATAAGCTACTCACCCATATTTCCTTCTAGTATTTTTGTCATTTATCCTTTATGTTTAAATTTTCTATACATGGAGGCTGGGCACAGTGGCTCATGCCTGTAATCCCTGCACTTTGGGAGGCCGAGGAGGGCAGATTACTTGAGGTCAGGAATTTGAGACCTGACTGGCCAATGTAGTGAAACCCCATCTCTACCAAAAATACAGAAATTAGCTGGGCATGGTGGCTTACGCCAGTAATCTCAGGTACTCGGGAGGCTGAGGCAGGAGAATCGCTTGAATCCAGGAGGTGGAGGTTGCAGTGAGCCAAGATCGTGCCATTGTACTCCAGCCTGGGTGACAGTGAGACTCTGTCTAAAAAAAAAAAAAAAAAAATTTCTATACATGTAGCATTTGTTTTGATGTGAGGCATGAGGCATGAGGTAAGGAATCTAGGTTTAATTTCCTAAAAATGGCCAATTTTTTTGCCAAGGTCCATTTTTTTCTCTACTGATTTGAAATGCCATATTTCTTATATCAAATATTCATTAAAGCTTGATTAAGTCTATTTCTGGACTAGAGCTATTTGCAATAATAAATTTTGGTGATCTAACTTAAGAAATCTATCTAATATCTTTTTTTTTTTTTTTGAGACAGAGTCTCGCTCTGTCACCCAGGCTGAAGTAAGTGCAGTGGCACGATCTCGGCTCACTGCAACCTCTGCCTCCCAGGTTCAAGTGAGTCTTCTGCCTCAGCTTCCCGAGTAGCTGGGACTACAGGCGCCCACCACCATGCCCAGCTAATTTTTGTATTTTTAGTAGAGACGGGGTTTCACCATATTGGCCAGGCTGGTCTCAAACTCCTGACCTCATGATCCTCCCACCTCGTCCTCCCAAAGTGCTGGGATTACAGGCGTGAGCCACCATGCCCGGCCATTTTTTTTTTTTTTTTTTTTTTTAAGACAGAATTTCGCTCTTGTTGCCCAGGCTGGAGTGCAATGGCGGGATCTTGGCTCACCGCAACCTCCACCTCCCGGGTTCAAGCAATTCACCTGCCTCAGCCTCCCAAGTAGCTGGGATTACAGGCATGCACCATCATGCCCGGATACTTTTGTATTTTTATTAGAAATGGGGTTTTTCCATGTTGGTCAGGCTGGTCTCGAACTCCTGACCTTAGGTGATCTGCCCGCCTTGGCCTCCCAAAGTGCTGGGATTACAGGTATGAGCCACCACACCCGGCTTTTTTTTTTTCTTTGAGATGGAGTCTCACTCTTTCGCCAGGTTGGAATGCAGTGGTGCGATCTTGGTTCACTGCAACCTCCAACTCCTCGGTTCAAGGGATTCTCCTGCCTCAGCCTCCCGAGTAGCTGGGACTACAGGCGCACGCCACCACACCTGGCCAATTTTTGTATTTTCAGTAGAGACGGCCAGGATGGTCTCAATCTCCTGACCTCAGGTGATCTGTTGGCTTTGGCCTCCCAAAGTGCTGGGATTACAGGCGTGAGCCACCACGCCTGGCCAATAAATCTATCTAATGTCTTAAACACTAAAACATGTTTTTATTTTTTACTATTGAGGAAGTATCTGAGACGACATCAAAAATCCCCCGTAAGGTGGACTATTTTCTCATATGAAGGCCACCTTTTCAGCATTTATGAAAACAGGATTGAAGGGAGTGATGTGACAGAGTGGCCCAGGAAGTCTTGGCACTGTAGAATTACTTGATTCCATACCTTCCTTATACAGTTGGCATATTTGATTTTCTTATTTCTCCCTATAAATTCTTTTTTTTTGGTTTGTTTTTGAGATGGAGTCTCACTCTGTTGCCCGGGCTGGAGTGCAGTGGCGCAATCTCGGCTTACTGCAACCTCTGCCTTCCAGGTTTAAGCGATTCTCCTGCCTCAGACTCCTGAGTAGCTGGGATTACAGGTGCCCGCCACCACACCTGGCTAATTTTTGCATTTTTAGTAGAGACGGGGTTTCTCCATGTTGTCCCGTTGGTCTCGAACTTCTGACCTCAGGTGATCCACACACCTCGGCCTCCCAAAGTGTGGGGACTGCAGGCGTGAGCCACTGTGCCAAGCCTATAGTACTTTTTATTCAGGGCATTGCTGCAGGATTGTGTTAATAAATGAGAACTTTTCTTAGCAAGTAGTGTTTAAGAAATGAAAATTTGCTTGTTAAAATTTTCACGTGTGTTTCAGTTGAGGTAATTAGGGAGTGCGACACCTCTAAATCAGTTTGTATCGTGTACAGCAAACATTGCACACTTCTCTCCCCTTCCTTTCCAGGAACTTTAATGGAATTGGGTATCTCCCCAATTGTAACATCTGGTTTGATTATGCAGTTGTTAGCTGGAGCCAAAATCATTGAAGTTGGAGATACACCGAAAGATAGAGCTTTATTCAATGGAGCCCAGAAACGTGAGCATTAATGCAATTAAAGAGCATTCTCCAAATTTGAGAGTGCTCGTGGTAAAGATGTTTTCTCTAGTCTTTTCTTGTCTTTGGTGGTAAGCGTGCTCTCCTTTCCCCCCAACTTTCATCAGTGTTTGGTATGATCATTACCATTGGGCAAGCCATTGTGTATGTCATGACGGGGATGTATGGGGACCCTGCAGAAATGGGTGCCGGAATCTGTCTCCTGATCATCATTCAGGTAAGAAATCCTATATTTTCCTATGCAGATAACAAAACAGTTTGATTCCTTTTTCCTTTTCTAACAGTTCTTTAGGTGATTGGCTTATTCATTTTCTTACTTTTGAATTATTTAATTCTAGTATTTTGATCACTGAAGTGATACGTGTAAAATTTTTTTAAAACCTTCTGTCACCGTGACGTGTTCAAGTTGTGTTGACGTGAAAAATTCAAATTTATTCTAATAGCTTCATAACTGCACAATACAAAGAATTATGGATCAATTGTATTTTATTGATTCTTAAGATACACATTTGTCACATTTTGATGTCTCTAGAATCAGGATGTTTTTGTACAGTAAACAGTGCCTTCCACTTGCGGTCTGCCAGGAGGCAGTCATGGTGGTGTCACTGCCTGTGCGTGTGTCAGCCTGTTCAGGTCATGCTGACCTTAGTTGGCTGAGTGTGATCTTCACAGAATGGGTGTTTGAGTTCAATCGCTGTCTAAAGGTGTTCAGAAAATCTGTTGTGATTTGTTATTGAAATGAAAGTTTATGTATAGAAGGGCAAGCTAGATGATAAATATCTACCACTAGGTCTAAAATACGTTTTTGTAAGTAGAAAATTAAAATTCTTTGCAATAAGGTATTGTGCCATAAGTTAATTGGCAGTATTCTTTTCTTAGTAGTACACAAAATAATGATGTTTTACATGGTAATGTCTTAGAGTCAGTGAAACACTGTTTATACACACATAAATATATTCCATGGGTTTTTTAAATGGATGCTTAGGAATGGAATTTTTAAAGGTCAACATAATTATTAGTGTCCTAAGTATCTTTTTTTTTTTTTTTTGAGACGGAGTCTCACTCTGTTGCCCGGGCTGGAGTGCAGTGGCACAATCTCAGCTCACTGCAGCCTCTGTCTCCCGTGTTCAAGCAATTCTCCTGCCTCAGCCTCCTGAGTAGCTGGGCTTACAGGTGCCTGCCACCACGCCCAGCTAATTTTTTGTATTTTTAATAGAGACGGGGGTTTCACCATGTTGGCCAGGCTGGTGTTGAACTCCTGACCTCGTGATTCGCCCGCCTCGGCCTCCCAAAGTGCTGGGATTACAGGCGTGAGCCACTGCGCCCGGCCCTAAGTATCTTAAAATATGTTAAGTTTGGAAGCTATTTCTCTATTGTACAATCCTTAAAAACCATTTAGATAAATTACCCAAGAACAGATCATACTTAAGTTATCTTTCTTGTGTTTTGAAAAGAAGTTTGCTGAAGTTAATAAACAATGGGTATCTGGAGTCCTGATTTTCTTGGAAATGCCTCTTCTTCTTCACTTTATGAAATTGGGATTAGTTTAGGAAATTTTTTCTTTTTCTTTTCTTTTTTTTTTTTTTGAGACACAGTCTTGCTGTGTCGCCAGGCTGAAGTGCAGTGGCACGATCTCGGCTCACTGCAACCTCCCCTTCCTGGTTTCAAGCGATTTTCCTGCCTCAGCTTCCTGAGTAGCTGGGACTACAGGCGCGCGCCACCATGCCTACCTAATTTTTGTATTTTTAGTAGAGACAGGGTTTCACCATGTTGGCCAGGATGGTCTTGATCTCTTGACCTCGTGATCCGCCTGCCTCGGCCTCCCAAAGTGCTGGGATTACAGGCGTGAGCCACTGTGCCCGGCCAGGTATTTTTTTCTGTCTGTTCAAAAGATCAAGATCAAGCTGAGAAAAATATTTTTTAATAATCTCAAATACCAGTTTATTAATATATACATAGAAGGAAATCTGACTGTCTCAGACTGGCATGGTTGAGCATTCTGGTTTTTTTGTTTTTGTTTTTTATTTTTGAGACGGAGTTTCACTCTTGTTGCCCAGGCTAGAGTACAATGGTGCAATCTCAGCTCGGCACAATCTTGGCTCAACACAACCTCTGCCTCCTGGGTTCAAGCGATTCTCCTGCCTCAGCCTCCCAAAGTGCTGGGATTACAGAGCATTCTGTTTTTTAAATTAGAAATGTTATGTAGGAAGCAAAACATGATTATTTAATGAGTGTGACTTATATCCAGGAAAGTTATGCTGTTCAAGTATTTATTTAGCATTGTTAACAATAAACATGACTTTTCTAATGAGATGGAACTGTTTTGTCATTTGACCAGGGCAGGAATTTTTTTTTTCGAGACGGAGTCCTGCTCTGTCTCCCAGACTAAAGTGCAGTGGTGCAATCTTGGCTCACTGCAACCTCCGCCTCCCAGGTTCAAGCAATTCTGCCTCAGCCTCCCCGGTAGCTGGAATTACAGGGTCCTGCCACCACGTCCAGCTAGTTGTGTATTTTTAGTAGAGATGGGATTTTGCCGTGTTGGCCAGGCTGGTCTTGAACTTCTGACCTTAGGTGATCCACCCGCCTCGGCCTTCCAAAATGCTGGGATTACAGGCGTGAGCCACCACGCCCCGCCCAGGGCAGGAATTTTTAATGAAAATCAGGTTATTTGGAAGCTTTCTGATCCCCAGTGTGTTCGCATTTGGTAGAAGATACGTTTCCTTAAAGAATAACTGTCAGATGTGGTGGCTCACACCTGTAATTCCAGCACTTTGAGAGGCCGAGATGGGCAGTTCACTTGAGGTCAGGAGTTTGAGACCAGTCTGGGCAACATGGTGAAACCCTGTCTCTACTAAAAACACAAAAATTGGCCGGGTGCAGTGGCTCACACCTGTAATCCCAGCACTTTGGGAGGCTGAGGCGGGCGGATCACGAGGTCAGGAGATCGAGACCATCCTGGCCAACATGGTGAAACGCTGTCTCTACCAAAAATACAAAAATTAGCAGGGCGTGGTGGCAGGAGCCTGTAGTCCCAGCTATTTGGGAGGCTGAGGCCGAACCCAGGAGGCGGAGGTTGCAGTGAGCTGAGATTGCACCACTGCACTCCAGCCTGGCGACAGAGCGGGACTCCGTCTCAAAAACTAAAACAAAATAAAACGACAAAAATTAGCCAGGCGTGGCGGTGTGTGCCTGTAATCCCAGCTACTAAGGAGGCTGAGGCAGGAGAATCGCTTGAACTCTGGAGTCGGAGTTTGCAGTGAGCCGAGGTCACACCACTGCACTCCAGCCTGGGCGACAGAGTGAGACTCTGTCTCAAAAAAAAAAAAAAAGATTAACTTTGTCTTTGTCTTTATTTGTCCATTTACAAATCACTTGATTGGCAAATTTACAGCCCTTGGGAATTAGGGAAAGAGGCGCATTGGATGGGGAGAGATGATATTCTGGAGTCTGATTTTAGTATCTTTCAGGGCTTAGGGTTTCTCTTCGTATGCTTTAGGCATTGTTGAGGTTATGGACAGGCCAATTGTTGCCTTCAGTTTTGTTTCTTTACAGCATTTTCTTTCTGCAATCCAGAGTTTAGAATAATCTTGATTTTTAGAAGACACTTAGAACTGGCATGTAGCTCGTAGAACATTATACATCAAGAAAAGCTCTCTAGTATCTTACTTAAGGATCTATTCAGATTCCTAAGGAATCTCCACTGAGCGATTCTCAGCCAGCTAGCTACAGGATTGACTTCTTACAGAGTCAGTTATGGATTGAAATTGATATAAAATAGAGTTAAGCTATTTTGCTGTTCATTTTCAGTATTCAGAAATCAGAAATACTTACAGTCCAAGAATGAAACAAGTGAAGTGGATGTACACTGATTCATTTACATGAATTCTGATACACAAATATGCGTGTTATGGCTAATTCTTCTAATGTTAATATATAAAGAGGGGTGTCATGTTTGATTGTAGGTGGGCAGTGACCCATTGGTGTCTTTTCAAGGCGTTACTAACATTGAAAATATGTGGATACACTGAAGAGCTATGATTGGATCAGTGTGTTTCACCCAGAAACATAGGTTTTGAAAACTGTTTGCATGCCGTTGTGGAAGGTATTTCTCACCTTATTTGTTTATGTTTCATTCACGTGGTTAGTGTTTTTCAGCTAGTGAGTTTAGAAATCTACATAGCAGGTCTTGACTAAAAATTTTAAAAAACTATTAGAGAATATCAGTGTGCATGGCACATAATAAAGGTAAGTATGTTTTGACATACTGAACAAAAGATAGTTTGACAAAACTAAGTTGTGTGTAGGTGTCGTGCAGGGTTAAAATGTTAAGTGCCATGTTTATACCGGCTCATCATACATGTCGTCCATTCCCCGTGAACATGTAGCAGTTAGGGTTCTGGTCCCATCACTGTAGACGCTGCTGTCACTTCCTGGGTTCTCATCCCTTTTCACAGGCATGCATGATATTTACTGGCTTTTATTCCCTTAATTATAGAAACCGTTTCTCATTTCTGTATAATTTCTTCCTCCCTTTGGAAAAACCCAAGTTTAATTTTCACAGGACATATGTGAACCACTCTGTAGTCCGATGGTCACTGTTCTGAACAGGGGGTGTGGAGAATTAGAGTTGTTTCAGAGCTGCTGTGGGACTCTGGAGAGGTCATTTCTCAAGGCCCATCACGATGCTTTCTGTGGCTGATGTTCATGGACGGCTGTTGCCTCCTGCATAGGATGGGTTTCTCTATGATGGGGAGTCTCTGTTCACTAATTACATGATTGTGGTTAAATAGAATCGGTAGTAAGTCCTAACCTCTACATTATTTTGTCAAAATGTCGAACTTGGTTTTCAAGCAGTAAAGGATTAGCATGATCTCTCTTAGAAGTTTGGAGAATCGTACCCTTTCTCCTGCCCATTGAAACTCAGACTAAAAGCCTGTAAATAGACAAGTTAGGCTCTGTCCAACTACTGAAATGGCAGTTAAGGAGAAAAACAACACTGTGTAAGGTAAGCATGCCTAAAATGGTCTCATGTGGTTACTTTGGTCGCTCTTCCAGCAGGTGATATTGGATAAAGTGAGTACAAAATGAGGGTGGGCGGCTTGAGAGCTGGGAGGAATGGAAGTGACTTCCTCACTTCTGCCGGAGGGTGTCTTTAAAGTGGGGACATGTGTGAGGTTGGGGGCATGGAAGCATATTTTCTTCCTGTCTTGATTAGGTTATTTGAGTGCAGGGAAGGGGTCATATGACTGAGGAGGTCACTTGAAGGGCTAGGGACTGTTTTTAATTAATGCATACTTTTACAGGAATGTCTTCTCCAAGAAGCAAGTTCAGAATTTTCAATATCCCATAAATTAAAGTCAGTATGCTTTCATTTTTAAAAACAATATGAGCTTAACCTTAACCGTCTTCAAATTTACATTCAATCTTTGTCACTATGTGTATAGAATGCATTTTTACATTGCTGCTCGAGTACGTATTTGAGTACATATTTGTGTTCTAGTTTTTTATTCTGTACACATTTTATAGAGTATACATATATATAATATATATAATGCTTTTTTCAAAGGATCAACACAGCCCTTAGACTTATCCTTTGATGGCAGTGTACATTTCCATCTTGCTATTATACCAGAATTCATCTGACTTTTTACTTCCTTGGAGGTATTTGGGATGTTTTCAGTTTCTTGCTGTCATAAATTCTAGAATACTGTGATCATTTTTTGTTTCAGTGTGCTTTTCAAACAGGCTTTATTTAAACATTGCAAAAGAAACTATTCAGATAAGTGTAAATAGACTTTAAAAGTTGAAATGTCTGCTTTATAATACAACAGTATTTCCAGTCCTCTTACTGTTCTAGATTGGCCTGAGTAAATGAAAGCAGGCCAAAAGATGCAGTTGGTCATCACAGTGAGATTGCAACGATCAGGCCTTAATATTCAAAACGCCCCTAGCTTGGAAATAGCCAATGGTGTTCCTCTCCCCCTTTCTTGAGTTTGTTCTTGCTTCCGCTTACTTGCATTTCTTTCCCCACAGTTGTTTGTTGCTGGTTTGATTGTGCTGCTGTTAGATGAGCTGCTACAGAAGGGTTACGGCTTGGGGTCTGGGATTTCCCTCTTTATTGCCACCAACATCTGTGAGACCATTGTCTGGAAGGCCTTTAGTCCCACTACCATTAACACTGGCAGAGGTACATCGCACAGCGACTGCAACTGCACGCGTTTTGCTGGATGTGTGCTGGGAACAAACCCATCGTGTCGCAGTACATGCCTAGAGCCGTTCTGGTTTGCTCTCCTAGGGGATAAGGAATGCGAATTCTTCAAAACTTAATGAGCAGAGATTTGTGGAGTAAGCAATACTACCTCAGAGAGAATAGTATCAAAATTTTAGCCTCTGCTTATTTAAAATTTCAGTGGTTGCAAACAGATTTTCAAAATTTCTTTTGTTAACCTTGCTTAAGGCATTGCTGCAGAAGTCATTTATTTGACTGATTTCAGCATCCGTAGGGGGATAAAAAGGTAGTGGATTTTAGATTTTTCAAATGAAAAGACTGTTGTTCATTGAATCCACCTGGAGCACTCCTACTCTGCTGCTCTTCTAATTGGCTTTGTAATAGCACCAAAGTTTTGAAATATTTCATTCTCTCTTTCCCCTTCCTCATCTCCACTTCTAACAGATACTGTCCTAAGTGGTTAATACCTAAACTCTGATCCCAGCCTTAAGAAAACTGTAATGATGATTAATGTTCTTGGTGCGGTAAACTTCGAGGCAGGCTCGATAGAGTGACATCTGTCTCTTATTCTGACATCTCTGCTCTGCTTCGCTGCTGTTTATTTTTCCTAAAAACACTCTCTCCCTTCCCTGAAGTAGAGGAGAGGCAAATCTCTATGAATGAAATTTTGCTTTGGTAAATTTTACGTTGTATGTTTTCTTCAAGAATAGTCTCTTGAGAAAACTTCGGATTTATGCTATAAAAACATAGATTTGCCTCAATGATCTAAATATTTGTAGAACCTGCTCACATGGCTATATCATAAAGCAAACATTGGCGAATTCTTTTGACCCATATTTTCTGCTGTATACTGGACTTTCACGGTTAGTTGTTTGAGCTTTGGGACAGCTTTGGACGATGAGTCCACAGGTCGTGTCTGTCTTGATTTTACAGGTACTGAGTTTGAGGGTGCAGTCATAGCTCTGTTCCATTTGTTGGCCACCAGGACGGACAAAGTCCGAGCTTTACGGGAGGCTTTTTATCGGCAGAACTTACCCAATCTCATGAACCTCATTGCTACAGTTTTTGTGTTTGCTGTTGTTATATATTTCCAAGTAAGTATAACCTTTTCACCAAAGTAAGTGGGATGTAGATTTTTATTTTGCTCTTAAAGAGAATGCCATCTGACATGCTGTTGTTTAACAAGTCAGGGTTTAAGATCAAGGGAAATAAAATTTTGCAATTAGAGTCTCCAGACTCTGATTTTAAGGTGTGAAATATTGGAGTCTCTGTACTTTTTTTGTTTTTTGTTTTGACCCATCAGCAGGAAGCAGACTCTCGACAGTTTAAAAGGCAGAACGTCTTTGTTAGCATTGTCTTTTCTTTTCTTTTTTTTTCCTGAGACGGAGTTTTGCTCTTGTTGCCCAGGCTGGAGTGCAGTGGCGCGATCTTAGCTCACTCTAACCTCCTCTTCCCGAGTTCAAGTGATTCTCCTGCCTCAGCTTCCTGAGTAGCTGAGATGACAGGCACGTGCCACCACGCCCGGCTAATTTTTTTTTTTTTTTTTTTGAGATGGAGTCTTGCTCTGTCGCCAGGCTGGAGTGCAATGGCGCAATCCCGGCTAACTGCAACCTCCGCCTCCTGGGTTCAAGCGATTCTCCTGTCTCAGCCTCCTGAGTAGCTGGGACTACAGGTGCATATCACCACACCCAGCTAATTTTTTGTATTTTAGTAGAGATGAGATTTCACCACGTTGGCCAGGATGGTCTCGATCTCCTGACCTCGTGATCTGCCCGCCTCGGCCTCCCAAAGTGTTGGGATTACAGGCCTGAGCCCCTGTGCCCGGCCGGCATTGTCTTTTCATCCCCCGCACTGTTCTTTGTTTTCCCTCTCTGGTCTCTGTTCTTTTCTTAATGTGTCTGGCTCCCCCACTTACTCTCCGTTTCCTTTTTTAGGGATTTCGCGTTGATCTGCCCATTAAGTCGGCCCGTTACCGAGGACAGTACAGCAGCTACCCCATCAAACTCTTCTACACCTCCAACATCCCCATCATCCTCCAGTCGGCCCTGGTGTCCAACCTGTATGTTATTTCCCAGATGCTGTCTGTTCGATTTAGTGGCAACTTTTTAGTAAATTTACTAGGACAGTGGGCCGTGAGTATTATGTTTATTTACATTATTTATAGTTTATTATAATTTGCATTTCATGGTTGTATTTTTAATGGAATGAGGTCGACATTGGAGCATTTGCTGTATTTTCAGATTCACTTACCTATATAGCAGAGTTTAGTACTTATCTGGAAGAACTGGTAAGTGTTGCAGAAGTAAGATTGCCCAAGCGCTTTTTATTATTTTGCTCTCTAGGAAGCACTTTCACATCTCATTTGAATGACCTTTTAAGCTAAAATTGTGGTTGATTTCATAAAAGTAATTTCCTATTTTGTCATCTTATTCCAGTATTGTCTACAATAATGCTTTCTAAAAGATGCTATTTGCTGGCTGGGTGCGGTGGCTCACTCCTGTAATCCCAGGACTTTGGGAGGCTGAGGTGGGTGGATCACCTGAGGTCAGGAGTTCGAGACCAGCCTGGCCACATGGTGAAACCCCGTCTCCACTAAAAATACAAAAATTAGCCAGGTGTGGTGGCAGGTGCTTGTAGTCCCAACCATTCAGGAGGTCAAGTCAGGAGAATTGCTGGAACCCAGGAGATGGAGGTTGCTGTGAGCTGAGATCACGCCACTGCACTCCAGCCTGGGCGACAGAACGAGACTCCGTCTCCAAAAAATAAAAACAAAAAATGCTATTTGCTGCTGCTAACATGTGAGATACTGGACTCATCCTAACCTTTCCTATCTCCCACCCTGCCTCCAGGCCTCCTCCATTTTTCATGGTCTGAATGGCAATAAGCCAGCTTGTGATGAGCTGGGCTAGAGATAGGCATGCTATTAACTAGACGGTAGAGACAGCGGTGCTGCTAGTAATATAATCCTATACATTCTCATATACATCCCCCATCATAATTTTTTTTTCTTTTTTTTTTTTTTGAGACGGAGTCTCGCTGTGTCGCCCAGGCTGGAGTGCAGTGGTACGATCTCGGCTCACTGCAAGCTCCGCCTCCCGGGTTCATGCCATTCTCCTGCCTCAGCCTCCCAAGTAGCTGGGACTACAGGCGCCCGCCACCACGCCCAGCTAATTTTTTGTATTTTTAGTAGAGACGGGGTTTAACTGTGTTAGCCAGGATGGTCTCGATCTCCTGACCTTGTGATCTGCCCGACTCAGCCTCCCAAATTGCTGGGATTACAGGCGTGAGCCACCACACTCGGCCCATAATTTTTTCTAAAGCCATCTAGCCACGCTGTTATTGAAGCGTGAGTTACTGTGGGACTGAATTTTCATTGGTTTAAATTCTGTCACCTAACAAAGGGGTATTTTCCCTCTTAAAATTATAGATTTTAGCCAGGCGTGTTGGCTCTCATCTGTAATCCCAGCACTTTGGGAGAACAAGGAGAGAGGATAGCTTGAAGGCCAGGAGTTGGAGACCTGTCTGGGCAACATAGCGAGACCCCATCTCTACAAAAAAACTTAAAAACTAGCCGGGCACAGTGTTACGTGCCTGTAGTCCTAGCTACTTGGGAGGCTGAGTTGGGAGGATTGCTTGAGCCCAGGAGTTTGAAGGTACAGTGAGCTGTGATCATACCACTGCATGCCAGCCTGGTTGACAGAGTGAGACCGTGTCTCAAAAATAATAGAATTTTAAAAGACTAATGTCCTTTATTCTTTGCCACAGTAGGTAATTCTAGAATTTGCACCCCACCAAAGAATAGTATTTTTCTGTACAGTTATTCTTGAAATATGGTGTTTATTCTGTGCATTTGTCTTAATATGCTTTTTTTTTGCATTATAAGTTACAAAGACTCATACCTTTCTGCTTTTACTGAATGTCATTTAAAAAAAAGGTTTTTTTAAGATAATAAGACAGTAACTCATATATTAGTTGAAGGGAATAGGATTCCCTTTATTCATAATACTTCTTTCCCATTCATTTAAGAGAAATGTGATGATCTCTGTTGTATTCTGGCTAATATTATATCGAGGACAGGAAAGTCAAGAGACAGGAATAAGAAGAATGCTGTTTCTGCCCTCCTTAGAATAGTCCAGCAGCAGCTATTACTCTGATCAGAATGTCATAGTGATAGTGCTTTGAGTAGTTGGTCCTGTACAATTTGTGTTATGATTTTGAGTAAGATTCTTCTGAATGAGAGAATGATTGGGAGATAGTGCTTTTGATCTGGGATTAATGATTCTAGGGGCACAGTAAAGAAATCATTGGGCAGTCATAAATTCAAGAACCAGATACTGTAATCATCGCAACTAAAAATTGGTTTCTCACCCCCTATCTGTATACCCCAAAACTTTATTTAATATGAGCAAATAATGCTGTTCCTATTTCTGTAAGATTTAAGTATATAGATAAAAATCCAATTATTATATTTATTAAAAGATTGCTCCTTATAACATAGAAACCACATAAAGTCTAGGCAGCAAGTTAAAGTCTTATGTCAGTATTTTAGTTGATTGCATTAATATTTTCATATGGAAGGATCATTCATAGGGATCTTAATGTACTGACTGGATACTCTCATAGCTCAGAAAATTTCAGATTTTAAGTATAATCAGAGGTTGATTGTAAATGTAATCATATTCCTATTTTCAGTAATGGAAGATTTTGTAATATATTACAATTTTTAAAAATGACTCAATATTTTCACAGTGTCTTGCATGTAATAGGTGTTCATCGTATAACTTTGAAGGAGTGAAGGTAGTAGACACAAAAGTACATTCTGAAACTACATAGAATGACTAGCTGTAGATGCCTTGAACTTAAAACACTGTCATTTCTGAGAAGTTTGAAGTGACATGCAAATGTATTCCTGACTAATTAGGTTGACCACTTGTTCTTTGTACTCCTGTTCTGTAGGATGTCAGTGGGGGAGGACCCGCACGTTCTTACCCAGTTGGAGGCCTTTGTTACTATCTTTCTCCTCCTGAGTCCATGGGCGCCATCTTTGAGGATCCTGTCCATGTCGTTGTTTATATCATCTTCATGTTGGGGTCATGTGCATTCTTCTCTAAGACATGGATTGAAGTGTCTGGTTCCTCAGCCAAAGATGTAAGTGTTTGGTTTATTTTAAAATAAAACTCTTGGCAATGCATGGTGGCGCACATCTGTAATCGTAGCACTTTGGCAGGCTGAGGCCGCTGGATCGCTTCACCTCAGGAGTTTTGAGACCAGCCTGGGCAACATAGCGAGACCCCGTCATGACTAAAAAAATACAAATAAAAATCGGCCGGGCACGGTGGTGCAAGCCCGTGGTCCCAGCTACTTGGGAAGTTGAGACGGAGCAGTAACGCTTGAGTCCGGGAGGTGGAGGTTGCAGTGAGCCAAGATTGCACCACTGCACTCCAGCCTGGGTGACAGAGCGAGATCCTGTCTCAAAAAAATAAAAAAGGCCAGGCGCAGTGGTTCACGCCTGTAATCCCAGCACTTCGGGAGGCCGAGGTGGGCAGATCCCATGGGTAGGAGATCGAGACCATCCTGGTCAGCATGGTAAAACCCTTTCTCTACTAAAAATACAAAAATTAGCTGGGCGTGGCAGCGCATGCCTGTAATCCCAGCCACTCAGGAGGCTGAGGCAGGAGAATCGCTTGAACCTGGGAGTCGGAGGTTGCAGTGAGCTGAGATCGTGCCACTGAACTCCAGCCTGGCGACAGAGCTAGACTCCGTCTCCAAAATAAATAAATAAATAGATAAATAAAAAATTTTTAAAAAAGTAAAATAAAACTTTGTTTTTGGAAAATTCATATTTAATTGTCAAAACAGTAGTGGATACACTCCTTTATAACTTAAGCTTTAATTTATACATTTTTAATGAGTCAGTGTCACCCCAACAGGCTAAAAATTGGTTCCCAAAAGGTAAAAAATTCTTAGATATTACAGTGGTTTGCAACCCTCCTGCAAAACAAAATCTTGTTTGGTAATTGAAGAAGGGTTGAGAAGCACCGGTTTCATATGGGTAACATGGAGCGGAGGAGCACTGAAGCTTTGGTTTCCTCAGGCTTAATGCGAATGATATGACAATGCAACTTTCAGGTTATTGTATGTTACGTGTTAGTGTGTGGCGAGCACTTCGCATAGAACGTGGTAGATGTAAGCAGTGAAATGTTCCAGTTGGATTTTGAAAGTCGTTTTTCTCTCGGCAGGTAGCTAAACAGCTGAAAGAACAGCAGATGGTAATGAGGGGCCACCGAGATACCTCTATGGTTCATGAGCTTAATAGGTAAGGCTGCTAGACTGACACCTTTATAGGCCTGTGTTTGTGTTTCAGTCTTTCAGTGTTGGCTAAATGTTTTTCTTTGTTCAAGTTCATATTTAAAACCCTTCTATTCACACAGATGAATCAAAATTTCACACAAAACTTGTTTTCCATGTCAAAACCAACACCTGAATTTTTCATTGAAATTGTGAGCACTGCTCTGCTCATCCCAGTGATAAAATCTTGCAGATCAGTGCTGTTCTCAGCATTGGCTGGCTGCACATACAATCACCAGAGAGCTTTTAAAAAGGATTTCCCAGGAACTGTGGCTTATTTGGTCTGGGGTGAGTTCCAGGCATCAGGGTTTTATTTTTTGGTAACAGCTTTATTGAGATAAAATTCAGATACCATGTAATTCACTCACTTGAAGTATATTGTTCAGTGTTTTTTAGTATATTCAGACTTGTACAGTCATAAGTTTAAACACATTTTCACCACCCAGAAAGAAACCCTGTACCTACTAGCCCACCTTCCCAACCACCAGCCCCAGACAGCCACTTTTAACTTTGTCTCTACAGATTTGCCTATTCTGTACATTTCATATAAATGGAATCATATAATGTATGTTATTTTGTAAGTGGCTTCTTTCACTTGGCATCATGTTTTCACAGTTCATATCCTTAATTCTTTTCATGAATAATATTCAATTGTAGGGCTTTACCACACTTTATCAGTTGATAGAAATCTGGGTTGTTTCCACTTTTTATGAATAATGCTGTTGTGAACATATTTGTACAAATTTTGTGCTGCTCAGCTGTCTTCCAGGTTGGCTGCTGTAGTCCACATTCCCACCAGCAGTGTATGAGGTTCCACTGCTGCCTGTCCTCGCCAGCACTAGCTCTGGCTTTTTAATTTCAGCCATCCTGATGGATGCGAAGTGGGGCACAATCACAGCTCACCGCAGCCTCTTGGGCTCAAGCGATCCTCCCCGCCTCAACCTCCAGAGTAGCTTGGGACCACAGGTGTGTGCCACCACGGCCAGCTAGCTTTTTTTTTTTTTTTTTTTTTTTTTTATCTGAGATGGGGCCTCACTTTGTCACCCAGGCTGGAGTGCAGTGGCACCGTCTTGGCTCACTGCAACCTCGACCTCCTGGGATCAAGCGATTCTCCTGTCTCAGCCTCCCTAGTAGCAGGGATTACAGGCACGCACCACCATGCCCGGCTAATTTTTGTATTTTTAGTAGAGATGGGTTTCCCCATGTTGGCCAGGCTCGTCTTGAACTTCTGATCTAATCATCCACCCGCCTTGGCCTCCCAAAGTGTTGGGATTACAGGCATGAGCCACCATGCCTGGTGGGATCCAGATTCCTTCTTTTGCTTGGGGGCATCCTGTTGTCCCAGCATCATTTGTTGAAAAGGCACTAGTATTTTTCCTTAAACTTTTTATTTATTTAGAACACAGACTGCAGAGTAGTATGATGGATCTCCAGCTCCAGTTGTCACCATCTTGCTGTTCTTGTTTCACCTATCACTGCCTCTAATCTTTTTTGAGTATTTTAAATCCCATTTTTCAGTTTTCCAGGTGATTCTAATGTGCAGCCAAAGGTTGAATTACTGAAATGGATCCTCAAAATCTTATGACATAAATTTGTTCATACCTACTCTTCATTCCACAAGAGGGAACGAAAGGTTACTCATTTAAAAATCTTAAACATTTTAATATTTAAATCTGTCCAGGAATCTCATGTCCTGTAAGATTACATATTGTCTTTCTTGGCTGTTGACTGGTTCCTGGAAATTAGGGTCAGAGTCTTTGCCTGGATCAGAGCTCCTGTTCCCATGCCGTGCCCTGCACACCCCTCCACACTGCAGCCTGTTCCCTCTGGAGTTCAGGGAGGCTTTAGACCCAGCTATGGCTGCTGCGCCTCGACCTGTCTTCGTCTCTAGCTGCCGTGCTGTTCCTGGTCTCTGCTGCCGCCTAACTTGGGGTTCTGTCTCCTAGGTACATCCCCACCGCAGCTGCGTTTGGCGGTTTGTGCATTGGCGCCCTGTCAGTGCTGGCTGACTTCCTGGGGGCCATTGGATCTGGCACTGGAATTCTGCTAGCAGTCACTATTATTTACCAGTATTTTGAAATATTTGTTAAAGAACAGGCCGAAGTTGGTGGGATGGGTGCTTTGTTTTTCTAAATGTTCAAATATTTCATTTTGTGCGTGTGAAAGGGAAAACACTTTGACGGATCGTTTTTGTCAGATGACACTGGTGGCTCCCCTTTTCTCCCCTCACAGTTTCTTGTTTCGAGTGCTGACTGACCCGTTTCTGAAATGGGCACCGAGCTAAGTCTGTGTGCAGCATTAGTACCCGCTGCCTTAAAACTCAAGTTTACATTATTCATTAAAAAAAGTACATCTAGTGTTGCCTGTAATGCTGGAAACCAGTGTATCTACCTTGCTGTGTTAAATCATGACAGTGAGACGGTGAGATGGATTCGTTTTGCACACAACATTCAAAACACTTCATATTGCCCCCACTTGTTGAAAAATAAATGTAGTTCAAATTGCCACTTTCCAGTATTTTTGAGCTTATTTAATGAGTTCTGGAACATTTATATCTAATCTATATTTTAGATAATTACTTTTTATACTTTTTTAACTCATGGTATCCCCACTCCCCACCCCCACCTCATTTTTATTTGTCCCTTCTCAAAGCAGCCACTTAGCCCACATGGGCGAAATCAAGTCTCCAGTTATTTCTGCCACAACTGCTTCTAAGGCCTCCTCCTTCTCCTCCTCCTCTTCCTCTTCCTCCTTTTCCTTCTCCTCCTCCTCTCTTCCCAGTGACAGCATCATCGTGCTGTTTGCCTGTATTGGCTATGCCTTCTAACTCCAACCAGTCACTTGAGAATATTCTTTCAAGATTCTGGGCCCCGATTCTTTTCTGTTTAAATCCCTAAAGCAAAGATCTAATTCTCAAGCAATGTCTGTAGTTCAGTGGGGGTGAACAATGAATATATTCATGCTAGGAATTTGTGTCTGTTGTTGTACTCACAGCAGCAACATGAGTGTAAACAGTAGACAATAAACTTTTATTTAAGAAAACTGATTCAGTTGTGTTGGAAAAAATAAAGAAATCTGATATTAAACGTTTTCTAAGATCATTTGTATAGGTTCAGTGTATTCATAAGAAGTCCACCCTGAGATGCCTGTAAAAGTCAAATGTAATTACACTTCAAACTTTAATCCTAAATTATTGACAGATAGATAGATAGTGACCAACTTAAGGGTAATCATATATGTGACTAACATTTGGGAGGAAACAGGAAAACAGTGGTCTCAAAACAACAATATCCCAGTCTCCATTTGAAAGAGCATAGATCTTGGTAAATCATTTTGAAAACTATGTGCTTTATTTCCCAAAAGATCAAACTTAATTTTTAAAAGACACCCTTTTCAGAAGTATGGGTTTTCATTGCTGTTTAGTTTCTTAGGTGTGGTATGTCTTACGTAGCTTATGCTTACAAAGCCAAATAATCGCAGGGCAAGGCAGATAAAGGCAGGCAGGATAGTGACAGTGGCTCGGTGAGCATCCGCCAAGGGCCTCAGACCACTGTTACCATAAAAACATCCACCCAGTGTTATGACGTCCGATTTTTTTTTCCCTTAAGAAGGTGGAAATATGGCTTTTAATACATAGGAAACCTTCAGTTTTTAAATGCAGGGCAAATAAACATTTTTAAACAGTGCCAGCCAGACTGCCAGTTCTCAAACAGACTGAATTTCCAAAGCACAACCTTTTCATGTTTATAAAAAATAGAAATGGCATTTAGGGATACATTCTAGGATTTGGCTCTGACTTCTAAGTTGCACTCTTAGGAAGAAGGAGAGGATAAGCTTAGGTCAGCTGCAGAGGTCATTCCCATGGGGAGTGGCTGGGGAGGAACTGGGCTATGTGGAAAGACTGGGCTGCGCCCGTCTACGGATGCCTTCTCTCTTGATTTCAATGATTGATAGCATGTGGCTTTCAGACCTAAGGAAGAGTTAGAGCTTTGGAGAATCACAATGCCTGTGATTGAAATCAGGATTTAAAAAAGGGTTAGAGGCATAGGGGAAGGCTACCATTACAGGAAGTAGTTGGATCTTAATTTTCACATGTATAGGGCTAGACAGCTTCATCTGTAAAGTTCTGTATTTCCATAATTGTTTTATCTTTAGGAAGTCCAGTGTAAAGATCTTACAGTTTCACTCATAAAAATATCCTGGGCTCAGACAGTGAGCCTGTGGACAAACGGAGGCTACTGCAGCATTCTGGCATTAGCACTCTGATTTTATCTGGAGAGCCCTTTCATATGGTTCTCAGGGCCTGGCTTACCCGCTGGAGCCAGGCTAGAAACATGACTTAGGGCTGGATGAGAATCATCCTGAGAATTCCGTGGGGGCCAGACTGGAAAGTCCTGGAAAATCATGGAGCTGCTGGAGGCCCTAAAAGTCAACACAAAAAGAGCTAAACTCACTCAAGAAGCTAAGAAAATGGCCCAGGAACACTGGTAGAACTGCTAGATGACAGGGTTTCAGGCATGGGAACCAGATCAATCTGTACTTCTTGCTGTGAACTACTCTGTATTGGGTTTCAGGTACTGGCTGATCTTGCTGGTTCTGTTCATGGTTTAACATCAAGATATTACTGCCCCAAACATGTCAGTCTTACAGATTTGTTTTCAGAAACTTCAAGTACTCTTTGAGGTAAGAATAGGAAAAGAGATCCTCAAGCACGTGCAGATGCTTGCGGGATGGACCTGAATTTTCATTAGTCTCCTAGCCTTGGTGTAGTGAATGGAGTCAACCGTTTTCCTTACTTAAAAGCTGGTTCAGCCTCAGTAAATAGATGAACTGAAAACTAGTAGAGGATTCTATCGAACCCTACCCTAGTTGGATTCAACTACCCTAGATAAATTTTGCATAGTAAAAATTCAATTAGAAGAGGCCAAAAAGCCTTTTTTTTCTTTTTAACGCTGTTTTAAACACTAACGGAGTACATGGTTATTTGCATACCCAGCTTAGAATTTTATATTGGGGGTTGAGAGTGGAAATGACCTAATTGAGAACTCAGGTCTATTTCTCTATACAAATACCCCTGTCTACCAGACTGGACTAGAAAAGTAACTGAGCTGTAGTTAACTGCTGTTGAGCTTTAAAAAAATTGGAGTAAACATACTTGCATTTATATTCTTTGTTAATTTTAGCTGGAGTTATAACAAATTTAAAGGAAGGTCACAACCTACCTGTAATTACAATTCCATACCACCACCACATCTGTTCTGTGCTTTTATTTTACGAAAAAGCTAATGGCAAATCTACATTAAACTAAGTTGAATACAAAGTCTTAGTGAAGAAGGCCTGGTGGTCTCGTTTACAAAAATGGCCAGTGTCATATTTGGGCTTAAAATTTCAAGAAGGGCACTTCAAATGGCTTTGCATTTGCATGTTTCAGTGCTAGAGCGTAGGAATAGACCCTGGCGTCCACTGTGAGATGTTCTTCAGCTACCAGAGCTGTGGAAAGCAAAGAAAACAACTTAGATCATGCCGTTAAGGAAGGACAAAACATCTTATTCAATCAGTGTTTGCGCAGCAGGTACTACTATATGTCACTTCCTATGCTAGATGCTGGTGATAACGTTTTTTTTGGTCTATAAGGATCTTAAAGAATAAAGACTATAAAGGCAAGATTACATTCCTAGCATGAGACAAGAACATCAGGGATAATGATTTTTTTTTTTTTTGGTGAGACAGTCTCGCTCTGTTGCCCAAGCTAGAGGGCAATGGCGTGATCTCGGCTCACTGCAACCTCTGCCTCCTGGGTTTAAGCGATTCTCCTGCCTCAGCCTCCCCAGTAGCTGGGACTATAGGCGCACGCCACCACGCCCAGCTAATTTTTGTATTTTTAGTAGAGACGGGGTTTTTGCCATGTTGGCCAGGATGGTTTCGATCTCCTGACCTCGTGATCCACCCGCCTCAGCCTCCCAAAGTGCTGGGATTACAGGCGTGAGCTACCGCACCCAGCCAGGGATGATTTTATGTGTGAAAACAGCAAAGTTGGAAGTGTATAGAGCCAATCGCTATACCTCATTTATAGCTGGGGTAGGGCTTTGCTTTTCTGAAACCAGATGGTGATGATTATGTAGGATCTTAGGGATTCCATCTTTTCTGCTGCTAGGGGATACATATGTTCCCCCGGCAAGTTAAACTGTGTGCATGTTAGGACTGGAGATCTACTACCAAGAATGCGGTCTCAGGACCTTATTACCACAGGCTTTCATTAAAATTTGTTTCACTCAGATGGAGGTTGCCAGATGTAAAATCAGCCTCTTGTTTTCCTAGCCGCTTGTTTGGGAACAAGCCTGGGGACATTTGCAGGCAGGAAGCATGTCCTACTCACCTGGGCACAGCAGGTGCTTGGTAACTGGCAGATGCTACTCTTTGTAGCAAACTGATCTTTTTTTAATTTTTTTTTTATGTTTTTGAGATGGAGTCTCACTTTGTCGCCAGGCTGCAGTGCAGTGCCACGATCTTGGCTCACTGCAACCTGCGCCTCCCGGGTTCAAGCGATTCTCCTGCCCCAGCCTCCTGAGTAGCTGGGACTACCGGCATGTACCACCATGCCTGGCTAATTTTTGTATTTTTAGTAGAGATGGGGTTTTACTATGTTGGCCAGGCTGGTCTGGAGCTCCTGACCTCAAGTGATCAGCCTACCTCGGCCTCCCAAAGTGCTGGGATTACAGGCGTGAGCCACCGCACCCGGCCAGCAAACTGATCTTAAAATGTAATACTTTCCTTCCGACTTCTCAAATGTTGCTGGTTGAATAAACGGTTTGATTACTGTATTTTGATTCTGCTAAAGCTAGGCAACTTGGTTCTTTTACCCCTCCTCCTTTATAGCCATAGTAGCCCTCTCTCCACCTCCCCTCACTTATTCTATTTTTTTCTCCCTTTTCTAAGACCAAAAGTGAAGTTAAGAAGGTGGAAGGGAGAAGGAAGACATTTTACAAAAAGGATACTCTTCTACTAAAAGATAACCCCGCACGGCATTTCACACTTGCCTACGTCACCCTGCTTTCCACGCACCTCCTCAGAGGGAGGGGCTGTTATTGTTCCTGTTTTATGAAAAAAGCCGAGAGAGGCTACAGAACCTGTTTGATGTGATAGCTAATTATGGTCCGCGGAGCCTCAAACCGAGTCGGGCCTGTGACTCCGAGCTGCGCTGCCTCGTATTGATTGTCATGCCTTTCTCCAAATACGCACCAGATAAACTATTGTATCTATTCAGTATGATTGTTCTAACTCTGGCTTTGAGCTGTCGAGGTGGCTTCTACCTTAGGTCTAGTTTTTGGAAAGGTGAAGCAGGAGTGGAAGCTCTCTAAGGGATACGAAATCTGATTTTATCCAAAGAAATCACAGCAGCCTTTGAAAGACACATTCAGATTTTCAAACAAACAACAGACAATTCAAAACCAGGCGCTCTGCTTATTCACTGAAACCGTAAGCTGCTGAAACTCAGGGAAAAGCTTAAGAAACTGGTCTTAAAGCTTCAGGCCAAACAATGCTTCAAATCACATTTGAAGTAATCACTTAAAAACAGTAGAAAAATCAGTTATCAATTACCTAAAACACTTATACCCAATAAAATATTCCCATGATGACAAGTGTCTGCTTCTTTCTAGATGAGTGAAAGGGATTTGCCAGCCCATACAGAGGTGCTCCTTGAAGGGCCCATGGTATGTCTCCATACAGTATCTCCTCGTCTCCACACAGTATCTCCTCATGTCTCCATACAGTATCTCCTCTCGTGGTTTTATCAAAGGACTTTTCTCCCCATAAGCTTACTGTTTACAAAGTCTCTAAAAGATGGGTGGCCAAGAATTATACAATGCATCTACATGACCAGTGATTTCTAAGGGCCACACAGCTGGTTTGGTTTATTATGTGAAAAGCATATCACACGGAGTATACAGGAAATACCTCAAGTATTTGTTGAAGGAGCATCATCAATTTCTCCTTGAACATACAGCCTCCACAAAGGACCATCCCTCATACTAGCATACTTGAGGAAAAGCTAACAGCTTATCTACCCACACCTTTGCATTGCTATGGACTGAAGGTTTAAAGTGTAGAATCGTTTTGGCTACTCAGCAGGAATGTCATCTGGGCCATTCTGTAGGAGAAAAAGCCTCTACCAAAAGTTTGCACTTGACCCAGAATGCTTTGCTCTTATTTTCAAACTCTGTGCCACCCAGAAAGGAAAATTAGTAGTGGTCACCTGCAGTTTTACAAGTTGCTAGGCATTTGACTTTAGTGATACAAAAAAGATAAAGAAATGGAGTTATATTTAGTACCCAGTTTGCTGGGATGGGGACGGGGAGAACTGGAGAAACTGGGTGGCGGTCTGGAGAATGCTTACCATCAAGTCTCTGCAGCAGGTCATTCTTGGGTAAAGAAATGACTTCCACAAACTCTAAACAGACAAAGTGCAAGTGAAAACAAAGCTAACGTCAAGAGCCTACCAAAACAACCCAAAATGTCTGCAGCCATCACCACTACACTAAGTCATACACGCTCGGCCACCAGGAGTTGCAGAACATACCTCCATCCCCTGGAAATAAACAGAAGGAAAACATTTCAGCAAGGCCTGGAGTGGTAACATCGGAAGACTTTTATACAAGAGGCGTCAAAAAGGCTTTGAGAATTTCACAGAAGCCTGGGTTTCTGCTAACTTAATTTATATACATTGTCAAACTCGAGCAGTATGAAGTTATTGTTCTCCACATAATGTTAAGTAGCAAAATTTAAAGCATATTCGATAGTATGTATATTTTTATAGATATGAATCTGCGTATTATGTAAAATATACAGAACATATAAAAACTTACCTTTTAACCACTATGAAGGTACAATTCAGTAGCATTAAATAACATTCAAAAAGGTGCACAACCACCACCAGTATCCATCTCCAGAACTTTTCATGACACCCAACAGAAACTCGGGATCCACTCAACACTAATTCCCCATCCCTAGTAGCGCTTACTCTACTGTCTTCCTCTATCAGTTTGTCTATTCTGGGCACCCAGATACGTAGAATCAGAGTATTTGCCCATCATGTTATCGCATGTTTCAGCGTGTATGTGTGTTTGTGTGTATACCACACTTTGTGGATGCATTCATCTGCTGGCAGACACCTGGGTTGTTTCCACAGAGGCGGCCATGAACACAGGCACGCAAGTATATGAGTCCCTGTTTCACTTCTTCTGGGTGTAGACTTAGGAGATGAAATGCCAGATCATATAATAATTCTGTATCTAATATGCTGAGGAACTGCCAAACTTTTCCACAGTGTCTCATATGTATATGTGCAGTTCAAAAATTAAGATTTATTTTATTTATTTATTTATTTATTTATTTATTTATTTATTTATTTATTTATTTTTTGGAGACAGGGTCTCAGTCTGTTGCCCGGGCTGGAGTGCAGTGGTGTGATCTTGACTCACTGCAACCTCCGCCTCCTGGGTTCAAGTGATTCTTGTGTCTCAGCTTCCCGAGTAGCTGGGATTACAGGTGCGCACCACCATGCCTGGCTAATTTTTGTATTTTTAGTAGAGTCAGGGTTTCACCATGTTGGCCAGGCTGATCTCGAGCTCCTGACCTCAAGTGATCCACCCACCTCAACCTTCCAAAGTGCTGGGATTACAGGCATGAGCCACCACGCCCGGCAAAAAATAAGACTTAAAATTAGTTGCAGTGGGATACTGAAACATAAATATGAACAACTGAAGAGGGTAAGAAGTTAAAGAATATCACTGATACTGATTTACTGTGGTGCACATATAAATACCCCCTTTAAAAGGATGGGAGAGACAACACGGAATTGACAGAGACATCACAGCTTTTGAATCCAAAGTTGCTAAGAAATATTATAGAGCAAAGAGAAATAGTGAATAATCTGCTGCCCGTTAACAATTACTTAGGCCATTTTTTTTTTTTTAAGAGAGACATGGTCTCATTCTGTCACAGAGTGGCACCATCATAGCTCCTCCAACTCCTGGGCTTAAGTGATCCTCCTGCCTCACCTTCCAGAGCAGCTGGGACTACAGGGGAACTTAGGCCATTCTTAAAATATACATGAAGACAGAAACCAGGGTGATTTAAGTTTCTCACTGTTTACTACTTAAGCCTGCAGCTCATATTACTAAGTGGGAATACACTTCATATAGAAAACAGGGAAATATGTCATTTAACATTTTTTTACAAAGAAAGCGTAAAGATGAATGAAGTGGCAAAAGAAAAATGCTAAAATACATGATTAGGAAGAGAGACAAGAATACTGATGAAGTCTATTTGAAAGACCGATTCTTTCCATGAAAGACTACATTCTTTTAATAAATCAAACTAGCAGCAAGTTCCAAGACACGTAATGCAACCACACCACCTTCATCACAGCCGACACACACATACCTGGCTTTGGCTTCGGCCTTGCGTTTTCGGCATCATCTCCGTTAATGGTGACTGTCACGATGTGTATAGTACAGTTTGACAAGCCTGGGTCCATACAGACCGCTGTGGAGAGAAGGGACAGTCAGATGCGTCAGTCCCTTTGGCATT
The DNA here is from genome assembly GCF_000001405.40 of Homo sapiens. NCBI lineage: Eukaryota > Metazoa > Chordata > Mammalia > Primates > Hominidae > Homo > Homo sapiens. Next base: position 12,172,912 of record NC_000010.11, read on the forward strand.
TGTTTCACTATGGTCTTAGGAAGAAGATGCGTCCCGCAGCTCAGCATTGACGTGGAGGTGATGCGGGAAAACTAGTTCTCACATTTGGTAGGCAGATCTGCAGGCTGCAAAGCATCTGGGCACTCACACTCTCCCCAGAGCTCTCGAGTCAAGCTTGCTAGGTCTGCGGGGTTAGATGGTACTGTCAAGTCATAAAATCCCTTCACCACATCAAACTCAAAAAAATCTTCCAGTGATGAGGGTAGCACATGCATGAGATGGGTGAGCAATAAAACTCAGGGGGTAGGAAATTCCTAAAGGCAATTGATTTTTTGAGACAGAGTTTCACTTTGCTCTTATTGCCCAGGATGGAGTGCACTGGCGTGATCTTGGCTCACTGCAACCTCTGCCTCCTGGGTTCAATTCTCCTGCCTCAGCCTCCCGAGTAGCTGGGATCACAGGTGTGCGCCACCCGGCTAATTTTTGTATTTTTAGTAGAGATGGGTTTCACCATGTTGGTCAGGCTGGTCTCGAACTCCTGACCTCAGGTGATCCACCTGCCTCGGCCTCCCAAAGTGCTGGGATTACAGGCATGAGCCACCACATCCAGCCAAAAGGCAATTTAATTTCATTAATTCTCCCCCAACTTCAGGCCCTTCTGGCTCCAGTTTCCTCCTGGGAGGGGAGATTCCCTTACACTTGGTGACCAGTCCTAATCTGTGATTTCTTTCTCTTCAGTGAATTCTGAGCGTAAAGAACACCCAAATAATCAATCCCTTCCCAGACGGAGGAATCCATCACTTGGTGAATTTTCAAGCAATACCAACCTGGAGAACATTCGGCAATGTCCCCTTTGTAGCCAGTTTCTTCTTCAAGCTCCCGGAGAGCAGCTGCTTCTGGGGTTTCACCATCATCTATGAGACCTGCAAGTCCAAATCATTGGTGTGATGGGAGCGGGAAATCCGGTTCTTTAAACCCTCCTTTTTTTTTTTTTGAGATGGAGTCTCACTCTGTCGCCCAGGCTGGAGTGCAGTGGTGCGATCTCGGCCCACTGCAACCTCCGCCCGTCCAGGTTTAAGCAATTCTCTGCTTCAGCCTCCAGAGTAGCTGGGATTACAGGCGCGTGCCACCACGCCCAGCTAATTTTTTGTATTTTTAGTAGAGATGGGGTTTCACCATCTTAGCCAGGCTGGTCTTGAATTCTTGATCTCATGATCCACCCACGTCAGCCTCCCAAAGTGCTGGGATTACAGGTGTGAGCCACTGCGCCCGGCTGAACCCCTCATTCTTGTAACACACCTGCTGCTGCACTACGTTAGGAGAATCGGAGCACTGTGAAAAGTGGTCTTACAGAGAAACCTGAGGATTGGAACTCTTTTTTTTTTTTTTTTTGAAGATGGGAGTCTCACACTGTTGCCCAGGCTGGAGTGCAGTGGTGTGATCTTGGCTCACTGCAACCTCTGCCTCCTGGGTTTAAACGATTCTCCTGCCTCAGCCTCCTGAGTATCTGGGACCACAGGTACACACCACCATGCTCGGCTAATTTTTGTATTTGTAGTAGAGGCTAATTTGTATTTAGTCTCACCATGTTGGCCAGGCTGCTTTCGAACTCCTGGCCTCAAGTGATTCACCCGCCTCAGCCTCCCAAAGTGCTGGGATTACAGGCATGAGCCACTGTGCCCAGCTTGGAATTTTTATAGAAACAAAAAGGCGAAAGAATAAAACTCTGAGCAGATGAATCAGGTTCTGAAGGCATCATCCAGTCGTCCTATTCAGACCCAGATCCATCATGAGCCTTCACGACCATCTCCACGCTGCTCTGCACAGCACGGGCAGCATCTGTGAGGAGATGTGACTTGGTGGTGACCAACTGGCTTAGGCTTGGGAGCTTGCTGTGTGGCTGCAGCACAGGAAGCCTGCTCATATTCTGCTTCCTCACACGTAGGATGCTGACAGCATCACCTGTCTTGTCTTCCTCCCTCATAGTAAAACACCGAGGCCTGGGAATGAAAGGCCAGAAAGGAGCAAACTGGTGGCCATTAGGGGACTCCCATGGCCACTGTGAGGAGTGAACAGAGAGGCCAAGGAAGAGGAAGGGAGCAGCAACGCAGACTCTTTTTCCTGAAAGGAATTAAAAAATATAATAAGGCTGGGCGTGGCGGCCCACACCTGTAACCCCAGCACTTTGGGAGGCCGAGGCGGGCAGATCACCTGAGGTCAGGGGTTCGAGACCAGCCTGGCCAACATGGTGAAACCCTGTCTCCACTAAAAATACAAAAAATTAGCCAGGTGTGGTGGTACGCACCTGTATTCCAGCTACGCGGGAGGCTGAGGCAGGAGAATCGCTTGACCCTGTTAGGCGGAGGTTGCAGTGAGCTGAAATCGTGCCACTGCACTCTAGCTTGGGCAACAAAAGTGAAACTGCATCTCAAAAAATAAATAAATAAAATAAAATAAAATAATGAAAAACTCAGGCTGGGTGTGGTGGCTCACGCCTGTAATCCCAACACTTTGGGAGGCTGAGGCAGGAGGATCACTTGAGGCCAGGAGTTTGGGGCCAGCCTGGGTGACAAAGCAAAACCCCATCTCTACAAAAAATTTAAAAATCGAATGCGGTGATGCACGCCTGCAGACCCAGCTACCCAGGAAGCCAAGGCAGGAGGATCACTTGAGCCCAGAAGGTCAAGGCTGCAGTGAGCTGTGATTGTGCCACTGCACTCCAACATGGGCAACAGAGCTAGACATAGTCTCAAAAAAAGAGCCCGGGCATGGCGGCTCACACCTGTAATCTTAGCACTTTGGGAAGCTAAGGCGGGCAGATCACTTGAGCCAAGGAGTTAGAGATCAGCCTGGGCAACATGGCAAAACCCCATCTCTACAAAAAAATACAAAAAATGAGGTGGGAGGATCACCTCAGCCTGGGGAGGTTGAGGCTGCAATGGGCTGTGATGGTGCCGGAGCACACCAGCCTCAGCAACAGAGACCCCATCTCAAAGAAAAAAGAAAAAGTGAGAGAAGAATTTATTCACGTTAATATTAAAAGTAATTAAATAGCCTGGCCAGGCGTGGTGGCTCACGCCTGTAATCCCAGCACTTTGGGAGGCCGAGACCAGCCTGACCAACATGGAGAAACCCCGTCTCTACTGAGAATACAAAATTAGCCGGGTGTGGTGGCACATGCCTGTAATCCCAGCTACTCAGGAGGCTGAGGCAGGAGAATCACTTGAACCCGGGAGGCGGAGGTTGCAGTGAGCTGAGATCCTGCCATTGCACTCCAGCCTGGGCAACAAGAGCAAAACTCTATTTCAAAAAATAAAAAAATAAAAAAAAAGGTAATTAAATAGCCTTCAGTAAAATGGTGAGGAAATGAGAAAAATCATAGTTGTTAACCATGTGTTACCAGCAGCTAGCCTTTTAAAATATAAAACTTTGGCTGGGTGTGGTAGTTTAGGCCTGTAATCCCAGCACTTTGAGAGGCCAAGGTGGGTGGATCACCTGAGGTCAGGAGTTCGAGACCAATCTGGTGAACATGGTGAGAGCCCATCTCTACTAAAAATACAAAAATTAGCCGGGTGTGGTGGCTCATGCCTATAATCCCAGCTACTCAGGAAGCTGAGGCAGGAGAATCACTTGAACCCGGGAGGTGGAGGCTGCAGTGAGCTGAGATCGTGCCACTGCACTCCAGCCTGGGCAACAGAGCAGGACTCCGTCTCAAATAATAATAATAAAACGTATACCACTAATAACAAATAGATGAGATTTAATCTCTTTAGATGGGAACAATCCAATAAAGTCCTACAATAATATAGGGCAATAAATTTTGGAGAGCTTTAATTACTGTGCAAGAAAAATATTCTAGTTGAAATGAAGAGTCTCCTTGGCCTGTTTCCGCACAGCAGAGCAAACCGTCTTCTCCATTCACATTTCTTGGAGTTAAGAGCCTGGCCTAGGCTGGGCGTGGTGGCTCACACCTGTAATTCCAACACTTTGGGGGGCCAAAGTGGGTGGATCACCTGAGGTCAGGAGTTTGAGATCAGCCTGGGCAACACAGTGAAACCCTGTCTCTACAAAAAATACAAATATTAGCCACGTGTGGTGACACACGCCTGTAATCCCAGCTACTCAGGAGGCTGAGGCAGGAGAATCGCTTGAACCCAGGAGGCGGAGGTTGCAGTGAGCCGAGATCACGCCACCGCACTCCAGCCTGGGTGACAGAATGAGACTCCATCTCAAAAAAAAAAAAAGCCTGGCCTACTTATCATTGGAAATTTCCATTAGCAGATGGCTAATGACAAACAATCAAATAAGCTGAGAAGGGGAAGGGCAATTACTCAAAAGGCTGGAGACGGCAGGGTGCAAGGGCTCACGCCTGTAATCCCAGCACTTTGCGAGGCCAAGGCAGGCAGATCACAAGGTCAGGAGATCGAGACCATCCTGGCCAACACGGTGAAACCCTGTCTCTACTAAAAATACAAAAAATTAGCCGGGCGTGGTGGCGGGCGCCTGTAGTCCCAGCCACTCGGGAGGCTGAAGCAGGAGAATTGCTTGAACCCAGGAGGCGGAGGTTGCAGTGAGCCGAGATCGTGCCACTGCACTCCAGCCTGGGTGATAGAGCGAGACTCCGTCTCACAAAACAAAACAAAAACAAACAAAAAAGGCTGGAGGCAGCATTGCCAAGAGGAGGTTGGGATGGGTGGGAGGTGGCCTTGTGTCGCCTTCACGGGTTCAGAGGGTTGTTGGGGTGTCCTGGGGGCCTGGAGGAGCCTCGCTACGAAATGGTTTAGTTTTACTTAAAACCACAAGGACAGATTAAAAACTGCAGAGCTGAGCTTTGCAGTTCTCAGGCTTTACCCTGGTTCAGGCCAACATCCCTAAGAAGCAATTCGATGTTGAGTGACTCACCTGCAGGGAACTCTATGCAGTAGCCCCCCATTGGTGGTCGGAACTGTTTCACCAGAACGATACACTCATAGTGAAGTGTTCTCTGCAGCACGGGGATGACCGCGACACCTGTCACCAGGAAATGGAACCAAGGAAATCCCTAATGAGAGGTCAGCAATGCCAGCACATTGTTTAGAGCAAGCTAATGAAAACCCCAGACTTTAAGAAACTCCGTTTTAATCTACAATACTGGCAGTTAATATTGGAAGCTATTTTAAAAATGTAATTAAAAATCATCACTTCCATGTTGTTTACACTTTCTTTTTTAAACAAAAAGGCTGTTTAATTGTCACAGTTTCTTAAACTAAAATCGGAATAAAACGAAACATTTCCTACAGGGTCAAGGATGTAAGGTTTCTGACTACACTGACCTTCCACAGAACCACTTTCCAGCGTGTGGCAGCCCTACCACTGGTGAGGCCACAGCCATCCCTGTGCTCCTGGGTCAACTTTGAGCAAGAAATCAAGTAAGTTCCACTGTCTGCAATAAATGCTAGCAAGACTGATTTTCCAGTTTTAGGGTAAAAGACCTTTCCTCTCAAGTTACTTGGCCTTCATTAAAACCTAAGAAAAACAAAAACGACTGGGTTTCAGAAAACACAAAGCACCCAGGAGGGTCCCCTGGCTCCCCACAGCTTCCTATCTGTGAAGCCAGCAGCAGCAGCATAGCTACTGTTTGCTTCCAGCAAAAATGGAAACCAAAACTAAATGGAAAAATAAGAAAAGCCTAGTGCCCAACTTCCCCTCGACCAGAGTGATTCTCAGGATTGTTTGTAGGCTCTTTGCAGTCAAGGCATTCATGCCTGGAGGGGAGGGTGAATGGAATAGGCTTTGCCCAATTAATTCCGTGTCCTCATCAACCTGTAAAGCAAGTGGTCCATAAGCATGAAGGTGTGCCAAGTAACTTTCCAAACTAAAGCCTCTCATCTAGATCCTTCCAACAGGACACAAGGACTTCTAGAAGTCATAACACGTCTAGACACAGGTGTGGCTTCAAACTATATTGATTTACATTTAGTTATAAACATTAGAACAACTTCCCCTCAAAAACAATGTTTTGGGCTTAGATAACAGAAGCCAGAAGTTACTTATAAAGAAAGCTTAATTTCGTTACATAGTATGGCAAAACCTAAGCGGAGATTTAAAGACACAACATCCTAATAGAAGTTAACTTGGTTCCATTGAAAACCCTCTTACGATCACAAGTGCTAACTTCCTTTCTAAAGGGTTGGAATAGGTTTGCACTCCTACCATCCGCAGTCTGCTCTTTCCTGGTTGTACGTTTCACTGATTCCCAAGTTCTGTTCAGGCAGAGAAGAAAAAAAAGTCATTAGTGCTACAGAAGAGAATTTTCTTAGGTTTTCTCTGTACAACCAGAACTTCTTAAATGCAATGCATGCAAATGTACTCATGATACTGGTCAAGAAGACCACAGCAATAAACGTCTGCATTAAAGAAGCTAATTCTGCTTTCCTATAGCTTCTGAAAATTAACAACGAAAACTCTTGCCACCCTACACCTCACCTTCTGGGTGCCCCCGAAACAGAAAGCCTGCTAAGCATGTGAGCTGCCGCTTTCTCAGAAAACTTTAGTTTGGATCCTATGTCTCTGGGCAAGGAGCACAGCCAGTGACAGATTAATAAGCAGGTAATGCAAATGAAGCCATAGGAAAAGACTCACCCCGTCTCTAGGAACAAAAGCTACTATGGACAACGTGAACTATTGAGATTTTCATATCATTTTGATTTTTAAAATATGTGACCTAAAACACACAATTTAAGAAGGTAGAACCTTCCCATTTATTAATGGAAGAATTATTAAATGTAGGCAAGTGCCCCTACTTTGCATGTGTGAGATCTTATCTAGAAAAAGTGGGCTGAGTAACAGCACAGTCCTGCTCTCTTGTATGGCTTTATTCCTGGTTAGCTATTGGTTTCTGACTGTTACCCAACTCAGCTTTTGGGTAACATCTGTGCTATTCTACTTTCTGGCCTTGGAACATGGGGCACAGTTGTACAGGAAACCCAGTTACTGACACAATTATGCAGTTTAAAGGGGCGAGGCATAAAAGGAACATTCTCCCTTCACTCTCTTCTCCCTACAACAGAAAAAAGCAGTGGTAAGAGACCAGAGTGGAGAAGCAAACAATTTTAGGATCTCTTTTAAAGGAAGTGAAACATGTGGGTGGCTCTGGGGCTTGGGATAAAAAGGAGTTACCACCTGCATCTCGATAGTAAGAGCTGCAAGATATCCTCCTCGGAACCCTCCTGCTCATGCTTCCTATCCGGCTGTCCTTAAAATTTGGACCTTGTCATATTTTCATTAAAATTGTTCAAATATTTAATTTGCTTTTTAAAAAACAAAACAAAAAGACTGTCTGGAAATTGTAGGTCTTTCAGCATTGTACCCAAATTCCGAAGGCCAAATATGTCAAAATGAACACAGGAAAATCAAACAGACTTCTATGACAACTCACAGCAGCCCAACATTCCTGTTAGTAGCAAGGAGCTGACCAACAAGCAATGCTGGTAAGTAAATCATACAGATTGCAAGAGATGAACACCTTTTGGCATAGCTCTCTCTGCTGCCTCCTAAGGTTAGTCCTAAAGACTGAAGAAGACAGTGCTGGGAAAAGCACTGAAGGTCCCATCCCAAACACTAGGAATAAGGGAAACAAAAAGAGGAGCATCATTATCGTGGTTAAGGTGAAGGAAACAAGCAGTAACGAGCCATAAATCACCAGCAATAAAACAGAAACGCATTGATAAGAAATCTCGGAATAAGATTGCCCAGTGAGAGCTCCAACAACTTCAAAGGGCCTGTGAGATGCACAGCTGACTGGAAGTCAGCTCTTCGTCTCTACTTGCCCGCCAGCTAAGCCCAGAGCTCCAGCCTCCCTGAGGCTCTTCCCTCCTTTGTAAAAAGCAGGAATGAGTATGTTTTCTCCAAAACCTCTTCTAGCTTTAGGATTCTGCTTCCAGTGAGATCATCCTATTCCTAGTCTTCTTTGTTATGGAAAAGCCTGTTGGCCTTCCTCCCTCTAGTTCACCAACACAAGAGGCGGGAGGGTCAGAGGGTGACTTCGGCACTGTCTTGAATGTCAATAGACACAACACTACTGGAATATTTTTATATTTCTAAAATTAACCCCACATCCCCTTTCATGAATGAGACGGTGGAACATAGGATTCTCTAGCTGCTATTTTATCTCTTAGACTCGGCCCTTCATATCCGTGGGTTCTGCATTCATGGATTCAACCAACCACCCATTGAAAATATTTAGGAAAAAAATTGCATCTATACTGAACAGGTCCACACTTTTTCTTGCCATTATTCCCTAAACAATAGAGTACGACTGTTGACACAGCATTTGCATTGTATTAGGTGCTGTGATTACTCTAGAGATGAAGTGCGTGGGAGGATGTGCATAGGTTAGAGGCAAATACATACTGAGTATCTGCATTTTCATATCAGGGACTTCAGCATCTGTGGATTTTGGTATCTGCAGGGGGTCCTGGAACCAACCCCGACAGACACCAAGTGACAGCTGTACAGGTTGAGTATTCCTTACCCGAAACGAGGGGCCGGAAGTGTTTCAGAGTTTGGTTTTTCAGATTTTGAAATATTTGCCTTACCCTCTGGGTGTCATGCAGGCCTTTTTGACATTTTGAACAGTATCTTTACCCCACAGAGCAGGAAATAAGCCAAAGAACCCCACAATGAGTCATGCACATAGGTCTCAGCCCTGTGTAGGGTGTTGTGGGGAACTGCTGCTGGGCATCCGGTCTGCACACATGCCATTTCATGACCCTCTGTGGGAGTACCTGCAGAGGGAAGTCGCCGTGTGCGTGCAAAGGATATATCGGGCCGGGTGTGGTGGCTCACGCCTGAAACCCCAGCACTTTGGGAGGCCAAGGTAGGAGGACTGCTTGAGTTCAGGGGTTCGAGACCAGCCTGGGCAACATAGTGAGACTCTGTCTCTACTAAAAAAATAAAAATTAAATAAATTTAAAAAAAAAGGATATGGCCGGATGCGGTGGCTCACGACTGTAGTCCTAGCACTTTGGGAGGCCAAGGTGGGTGGATCACCTGAGGTCAGGAGTTTCAGACCATCCTGGCCAACAACACTGCCTCTACTAAAAATACAAAAATCAGCCAGGCCCAGTGGCATGCACCTCTAGTCCCAGCTACTCGAGTGGCTGAGATAGAATTGCTAGAACCAGGGAGGTAGAGGTTGCAGTGAGCTGAGACCACACCATTGCACTCTAGCCTGGGCAACAGAACAAGACTCTGTCTCAGGGTAAAAAAAAAAAAAAAGAAGGATATAGCTGAGCTGAAGGGGAGGGTTCCTTTTCCCCTGGGGGGACACTGAATGTCTGTGTTGTATGCCTGTGTTCTGACTGCAGCCTGTCACACAGAGTCAGGTGTGGAATTCTCCAGCTGGGGCATCATGTTGGCAATGAAAAGGTTTTGGATTTTGCAGCATTTTGAATTTCAGATTTTCAGATTAGGGCTGCTCAACCTGTACACGCAGGCTTTTATATCAGGTCAGAGATAACACATCCTATAAATTATACATCGTGGCATACAGGAAAGTACAAAGACTCATTCTTCAAAGGGTGACATTCTGGTATAAAATATTAGTGCTTTACATAAATCCTCTTCAGAGGCCAGGAAAAAAACCCTATGTATGGAAGAATGGACATGACCATGCTATAAATATGGTAGTTTGGTGGATTTTAGAGCCTACTCCCAATCTACTGAAATAGATATTCTGAAGTGAGATTTCGTCGTATTTTCAGAAAAGTCCCCATATGATTCTGATGTACATCCCTGATTAGGAAATGCAGGAAGGGCAGAAGACCAGTCAGGCGAAGAGATGAGCTGGCGCGAACACATCTTTTTATTTTATTTTTATTTTTTGAGATGGAGTCTCGCTCTGTCGCCCAGGCTGGAGTACAGTGGTGCAGTCTCGGCTCACTGCAACCACCTCCTCCCGGGCTCAAGCAATTCTCCTGTCTCAGCCTCCGGGGTAGCTGGGATTACAGGCGCATGCCACCACGCTGGGCTAATTTTTGTATTTTTAGTAGAGACGGGGTTTCACAATGTTGGCCAGGCTGGTCTCGAACTCTTGACCTCAAGTGATCCACCCACCTTGGCCTCCCAAAGTAATGGGATTACAGGCGTGAGCCACTGCGCTTGGCCTCAAACACATGTTTAGACTCATTAGAGTTGAGGGCTATGTTTTGTGTTATAAACTTAATTTGACAGGCAAAAGAGAACCAAACTGTATCACTATACATTGGGTTCCAACCTCTCTATAGTTTCACAAATATAAATACATTTGAACATATGGTGCTCCCTAAGACTTGGGCCTTGCCACATTTCTGTATCGGGTTTGGGCCCTACTTATTTTGTACATTTAGTTTTCCATATCAAACTCACTTGGCATCTTAAGTGAAGAGTTACAGTCTTTCATGGTTGGTGGATCATACTGTGCTTAGCTTTCTTACTGCTGGGTTTTAATTCAGCAGTGCTATCTATCTCTTAACATGTTTCCTACAGCTCTCCCACATTAGGCCTTATTAAGGGCTTTGCTAGTTTAGTAGATATAATCACAGTTGTTCAGATGACTGGCAAGCCCATGTATTTGCATCTTGACGATCTATTTCATCACAAAGAAATCATGTACTCTTATTGGATCACTTTGCAAATGGAGTTCTCATACTGATGAATTTTTATCACGTGATCTGGTTACTAAATTTCATCCTCATTCTGTTGTACTCCATTTAAATTTCACTAAGTAAAAAATTAATTTTCATAGTATTTTCTTCTTATAGTTTATAATATCAAAAGATTGCTATGCAAAAATCTGGAAAGTAAAAGAAAAAAGGTTAACCACACAGCTTTTTTCCCATTTTGCTATAATTTTCCTTCCGGCTTTTTCTTACACGTTATTTGGCAGAGTTTGAAAAGCATATACATACTTTTCTACTTTGTTATCAACTTAGGAGCTTTTCCCATATTGCTAGGTTGTCTTCAGAATCTGCTTTTTAGACGGCTGCAGAGATTTTACCAAGGGAATACACTATAACAATTCATTTCCTATTTTTAAGATATTTAGGTTGCTTTCAGTTTTTCTTTTAAAATTTTGGTGAACATTTTCTATACATAAATTTAATTCTGAATGCTAATTTACTTAATACTTTCTTTTTGTTGTTGTTGTTTTTGTTTTTTTGAGACAGAGTCTCACTCTGTCACCCAGGCTGGAGTGCTGTGGTGTGATCTCAGCTCACTGCAACTTCCGCCTCCCGGGTTCAAGCAATTCTCCTGCCTCAGCCTCCCAAGTAGCTGGGATTACAGGGCCACCAGGCCCAGCTATTTTTTGTATTTTTAGCAGAGATGGGGTTTCGCCATGTTGCCTAGGCTGGTCTTGAACTCCTGACCTCAACCGATGCCCCCCGCCCCGGCCCCCACCCTTGGCCTCCCAAAGTGCTGGAATTACAGGCGTGAGCCAACACACCTGGCCCTTAACACTTTGTTAAAACTGGGATTACTCGGTCAAAGGGTACAGTATCTTTAGGGCTACTGACACATATTATGAAATAGGGTGTACAAAATGTTTTTTTCCCAATTTGCATTTCCATGAGGCAGGCACGTACCTCAAAATTAGCAATGTTGTTGTTTTCTCTTTATTTCTTCTAATTTAGAAATTAAAAACAGATTTTACTAGAAGGAAGCAACATGTACTGTTAATTATTCTGTCACCTTATCAGCTTAAATTAGGTTTGGCCCAAAAGTTTTAGGTCTACACTTGTCTACTTAGGGAGAATGGTATTAAAATAGTTTTCTGATTAGTTATTGTAACACATTTACAACCCAATTTTATTCAGCAACTATAAATGATGCAAACATCCTAACACTGGAAAAACAGCTAAATCAGATTATTTAAAACAGAGTTTACAAAAAAGAAAACATCAAAGTTTATGCAAAACACTCAACAGATAACCTGAGAACCCAAATAACGAACATTTTGTAAGAAAAAAAAAAAGTTTACCTAGTTTTACCAGTAGGATCCATGTACGTTGTTTTTTCAAGCTTGACCCATTTTCCTTCTGAAATTAACTAAAAGGATATCAGATAATAAGTTGGGAAACTTTCAAACCAAGTTGTTTTTATCTAAAAGGGTTTTTCTTTCACATTTCCTCTGTCTTTCCCCAGACTCCCAATAATCATCTTTCCTTCCCAATAATCTGTGGGCACGTTTTTCAGTTCAGAGTAGGTAGGTATTCAGGGTTGTTTTTTTAAAGGGCACTTCTGCTTCTTTTTGAAATTTCTTGGTGGTAGTAGTTAACAGGTGAAAAGAAATGACAGTCTAAAAACTCCTGGGGGCTGGGGGAAGGGGTGGGGCATGGAGGTAACTGGAAGGGAGCACATGGGGTGAGGGTGTCCTGGGACGCTCCTGATGGTCTGTCCCCTGACCTGGGTGCATACAACACAGGTGAGTTTCATATGTAGAAATGGCCATTTCTAGACACTGGTATTTTTCCTGTCAGTGATGACACAGGAAGGCGGACTGTGGGGAAACAGGGTCCATCCAGGATTGGATCTCCTATCATGACACGTGGGTTTCCCACCCAACCACAGATGGACACCCCAGGTTCGTTCTGCCTAGACACTGGGGAGTTCTGGTGTTGGAGACTAACTTACCTACGGCACTATACTGAACTGAGAGGAAAGCGTCACTGCGTATAAAGCAGTAGCCTTTCTCCTACTATCCTATCTTTCACTTCTTGCCAGCAGCAACCTAATCATTTTCAGCAGATCTGTTCACAGACAACATGGAAAGATTTTAAACCAAAAGGAATTCCAGAAAGGTGTCAAGATCAGAGATCCAAGATGAAGGATTTAAAATTTATCCACTGCAATGGTTCCTGCAGGAAGAGACTTTTAAAGCTAAATTGAATAACACAGAGACATACATTGGTTCTAGAATTCACTGGAATTTAGACTACAATTAACAACGTAGGTTTTTATTGTTCTTAAACACTCATGTTAGGCCATCAACAGCCAAGTTGTGACAACTACATATGAAATATCTGAGTCCGCAAATGCATATATTCTTTCTTCTTCTATCTAGGGAAATACAGGAAGGATTAAGAATTTTTCTGTTAAGAGCCCAAATCTCCTAGAGTCTCAATTTCACTAATACACAGAGAGACACACTACTCCTCCCACACAAGAGCAAAATGTGCCCGAGCCCAAAAAAGGGAGTAGGAAAAATCTTTACAACTGTCTTCAAGAATGAAAGACCACCATTGTAACAACAGTCTATATATTTCTGCTAAACTCAGATTTATGTGGGGGAGGGAAGGGAAAGTGAAAAACAAGTTATACCTCCTCTGAAATGATATACTGTTTGCCATTCTGAGAAGATTCCGTTGGTTCTTGGCTCTCCATTTTCAAACGAGTCTTTACAGCCCTCAGGTGAGAAGTTCACCCTGCAAGATAATGAGATTTGTTCAGGCTAAAATTATTTTTCTGAATTAAACATTCGTCCACAGGACACTAGTCAAAGTACTTAAACGGCAAAAAATTCATCTACCATCAACGCTGCCTGTCTCAGTATGTGAGGGAACTGCCGCAGGTGGAAATGTGAACAGGGAGGCCCGGGGATTAGCCAGGAAGGAAGTGACAGCAGTCCTAGTCACCCTCAGCCACAACAGCCAAGCTCCTGCCATGCCTGTTCTAGGCACTTAGAGGCCACCCTTCTTCATCAGATTTTTCTTTTTTTTTTTTTCTTTTTTGTTTTTTTTGAGAGAGTCTCACTCTGTTGCCCAGGGTGGAGTGCAATGGCGCGATCTCAGCTCACTGCAACCTCCGCCTCCTGGGTTCAAGTGATCCTCGTGCCTCAGCCTCCCGAGTAGCTGGGATTACAGGCATACATCACCAGGCCTGGTAATTTTTATATTTTTAGTAGAGACAGGGTTTCACCACGTTGGCCATGCTGCTCTCAACCTCCTGACATCAAGTGATCTGCCCTCCTTGGCCTCCCAAAGTGCTGGGATTACAGGCGTGAGCTACCGCGCCCAGCCTGATTTTTCTGACTCCGAATCTTAAACTCTTTCCAAGGGAAGACAGAAGAAAGATTTACCACTCTCCATGCCCACCTCTCAGTCTTTTATCCATCTGTTACACCTAAACTTACTTATTTTTTGAGATGTAAGATCTCACTCTGTTGCACAGGTTGGAGTGCAGTGGCGAAATCATGGCTCACTGTAGCCTCTACCTCCCAAGCTCACGTGCTCCTCGCATCTCAGCCTCCTGAGTAGCTGGGATTACAGGTGCATGCTACCACAGCCAACTAATGTTTTAAACTTTTGGTAGAGGTGGGGTCTCACTATGTTTCACAGGCTGGTCTCAGACTCCCGGGCTCAAGCGATCCTCCTCCCGCCTCGGTGTCCCAAAGTGCTGGGATTACAGGCATGAGCCACTGGACCCACCTCCCCACTTACTTTTAAGTTTCAGCATGTATCAAAGTCATAGTTGCAGAGAAAGGATCGAGTAGTACTACAAGTTCTGTTATGAAAAGAGCAGGCCCTTATCCCATTTATTGTATATTATTATTTCCTCTTTCTTTATTCCTTCATTTTCGGACCTTGCCTGTCCGAAGGTCAAAGTCTTTTTTTCTTACCCACACACATGGTTGTTAATTCAGCTGTATATAGAATTATAGACCCAAAGCCAGTTGTCTATGAAACTGTAAGGCATTGCTTAGTTGTCTTACTTCTGGTGCTGCTGTTGAGAAGTCCAAAGCTATTCTTATTCTTGATCTTTTTGCCATGTGACCTGTCTTCCTCCTCTGGAAGCTTGTAGTTAGTCACTTTCATGTCGATGTTATTGTACTGGGAAGTCAAGTGGGTCCTTTCAATCTGGAAACTTCTTACTATGCTTCTTTACAGGGAATTTTTTTCTTGAACGACTTCACTGATGATTTCCTCCCCTGTGTTTTCTCTGTTGTTTCTTTTAAGAACTGTTACTTGGACCAGGCACAGTGGCTCACACCTGGAATCCTAGCCCTTTGGGGGACCAAGAGTCTGAGACCAGCCTGGGTAACATGGCAAAACCCTGTCTCCACAAAAATAAAAAATAAAAAAATTAGCCGGGTGTGGTGGTGGGCACCTGTAGTCCCAGCTACTCAGGAAGCTGAGGCAGGAGGGTCATTTGGACCCAGGAGTTGGGGGTTGCAGAGAGCCGAGATCACGCCACTGCACTCTTACGTTCCACGGTTCTCTAACCTACCCCACCTAACTTCGGCTTCAAAGAAAATACAGCCCACCCAGCATCAACTCTCTTCCCAACTGTCCTAAAGGAAAAAGTGAGTCTGCTCTTTGTTTCTTCTGGGACCCAAAGTGATCATACTACCCATCTGATCTTCAATTTGTCCCCAAGACAGCAAGCTTCCCTATTCTAAAATACAATCAATAACAAAACCAACTGTATGAATATTCATAAAGTGCGTTTACAAATCAAATATCTGATTGACTATCATAGGTAACCCTTGTGGCCAACCTGTGAAAGGTGAGATGATGTTTTAGGAAAGTGGCGGTGAGGCCGGGTGCGGTGGCTCACGCCTCACGCCTACAATCCCAGCACTTTGGGAGGCCAGGGCGGGTGGATCACGAGGTCAAGAGATGGAGACCATCCTGGCCAACATGGTGAAACCCTGTCTCTACTAAAAATACAAAAATTAGCTGGACGTGGTGGGGTGCGCCTGTAGCCCCAACTACAGGGAAGGCTGAGGGAGGAGAATGGCTTGAACCCAGGAGATGGAGGTTGCAGTGAGCTGAGATCGTGCCACTGCACTGCAGCCTGGCGACAGAGCAAGACTCCATCTAAAAAAAAAAAAAAAAAAAAAAAAGTGGTGGTGAGAGGGACAAAGACCCTCACTCCCCCGGACCTCATTTTCCAGTGAGGAGAAAGGAAAAACAGTGAGGAAGAACACAAAATTTATGTCAAGTGACTCAGCGTTTCATGAAGAAAGATTAAAAAGGATGAGAAGTGTGGGGAAGATGGGAAGAGTAATCTACACGGAGTGATCAGGCAAGGCCTGTTTAATTTGGTGACTTCTGAATGGAGACCTGAAAGCAATAAGGAAGTAAACCACGTAGAAGTTTAAATATTTAGAGACAGACATTAGCATATTGAAACCTGCAGCCCTACTAAGAAAACAGGCACTTATTCCTTTGAAAGTACCATAGATGATAATTTATTAGGTAAACTTTTTTTTTTGAGATGGAGTTTCGCTCTTGTTGCCCGGCTGGAGTGCAAAGGCATGATCTCGGCTCACTGCAACCTCTGCCTCACGGATTCAAGCGATTCTCCTGCCTCAGCCTCCCGAGTACCTGGGATTACAGGCTCCTACCACTGCACCCGGCTAATTTTTACATTTTTAGTAGAGATGGGGTTTTGCCATGTTGGGCAGGCTGGCCTCGAACTCCTGACCTCAGGTGATCCACCAGCCTCAGCCTCCCAAAGTGCTGGGATTACAGGCGTGAACCACCGTGCCTGGCCGCTAAAAGAGAGTATTTCTTTGGAATGCAATCAGCCTCAAAGGGAAACAGTATCGTGCAGCAATCCACTGATTCCGTGAATGACAAAAATGAGCTATTTCAAGAGCATATTCTTAACTATGAGATTCCCAAACATTTCAGAAGGACTGTAAAAGTACCTCAGAAATTTTTAGAAACAGAAAAGGAATGTTGTTTTTAGCACCATTTCAAAAGCAGAAGCCAAATAGTGCCATTCGGGGGCCAGTCACTGCCAGCAACACGCTGCAGAAAGAACGAGAAATGAGCTTTAAATTCCGTGCTTTGTAAGCCAGCGTCTCCGCCACTGCAACGGAGTTTGCCTTCACTGACTCAACGCTATTTCAAGATTTAAAAGCAAACTTTGATATAAATTTTATCCACTTCATTAGTTAGAATTTAAGGTAATTTGCATATTGCCAATATGTGTATGGTATGAAAAAGATACATGTACACGATGTTGAGTGTTCTACAATTTTTTTTTTTTTTTTTGAGACAGAGTCTTGCCTTGTCGCCCAGGCTGGAGTGCAGTGGCGCGATCTCCGCTCACTGCAAGCTCCGCCTCCTGGGTTCATGCCATTCTCCTGCCTCAGCCTCCCAAGTAGCTGGGATTACAGGTACCTGCCACCATGCCTGATTAATTTTTTGTATTTTTAGGAGAGACGGGGTTTCACCGTGTTAGGATGGTCTCGATCTCCTGACCTCGTGATCCACCCGCCTCGGCCTGCCAAAGTGCTGGAATTACAGGCGTGAGTCACCGCGCCAGCGAGTGTTCTACAATTTCATTTATGATTTTCCTTAGTCTTTAAAGTCACAAGCTGTTTTAATTCTCATAAATCGTTTTAACTCAGTTCAGTTTGAACACTGAAGGTCTAGGATGTGTTGGATGTGTAATTCTCCAGAGCATAAAAAAAACACTAGTGAGGGGAAATGCTGTAAGATTTTTAGACGTCTTGCACAGTGGCAGGCTAACTAGCAGTCTCTAACTAGCTTCGAGAGCACCAGCAGTGGAAACGTCTGTGTATATACTCAGTGCACACTGACCACTATGCTTGCCCTTGAGCACGTTACAGTTTAGCAAGCACATCTGGGGCAAAGACCTGCCTCAGAGACACCACCATACCAGGATGTTTTAAAGGAGGGACACACACATCCCCTTGGGAGGCAGTGAGGAAAATGATAAAGCCTTTTTTTTTTTTTTTTTTTTGAGACTGAATCTCGCTGCAACACCCAGGCTGGAGTGCAATGGCATGATCTCGGCTCACTGCAACCTCCACCTCCCAGGTTGAAGCAATTCTCCTGCCTCAGCCTCCTGAACAGCTGGGATTACAGGCCTGTACCACCACACCCGGCTGATTTTTGCATTTTTAGTAGAGACGGGGTTTCACCATATTGGCCAGGCTGGTTTCGAACTCCTGACCTCAAGTGATCCACCCACCTCGGCCTCCCACAGCACTGGGATTACAGGGGTGAGCCATCACACCCAGCCAAGATTTTTAAAAGATAGTTTGATGTGAAGACATGGTTTAGAGACCAAGAGTGCAGAGAAAGCATTCCAACTAGAAGACACCACATGAACAAAGGCAGAGACACCGGGGCAAGGGTGAGAAATTCTGAGTGTATGGCGAGCTCTGTGGTTCTCAAGCTCCTCCTCCACTTTCTCCTTTAAAAAACAAAGGAAAGGCCGGGCACAGTGGCTCATGCCTATAATCCCAGCACTTGGGGAGGCCGAGGCGGGTGGATCACGAGGTCAGGAGATCGAGACCATCCTGGCTAACATGGTGAAACCCCATCTCTACTAAAAATACAAAAAAATTAGCCAGGCTTGGTGGTGGGCGCTGTAGTCCGGGCTACTCAGGAGGCTGAGGCAGGAGAATGGCATGAACCCGGGAGGTGGAGCTTGCAGTGAGCCAAGATTGCGCCACTGCACTCCAGCCTAGGCGACAGAGCAAGACTCCGTCTCAAAAACAAAAACAAAACAAAACAAAAAAAACCACAAAGGAAAAACCACCACCACAAAACTCCCAAAACAACTCCACATATAATGATGATTTGCGAACACATTTCTAAGGCCATACACAGATTTGGCTGGATCTCTGCCCCCAAAACTGCAGGCCAACAAAGCACACAAAGCTAACTGGCATGGCACAAATTACTGTTGTGATATGAGGTAGTTTTGGGGGCCAGTGCCATGCACTGCATGTGCCTATAGTCCCGGCTACTTGTGGAGGCTGAGGTGGGAGGATCGCTTGAGCTGAGGAATTCATGATGACCCTAGGAAACATAGTGAGATCCTATGTAAAAAATGAAAAAACAAACACCAAAATAAACTAATTTTGGGGTTAGGCAGCAAGTACAGCCCTCTACAGAAAGGGAGGAAGTGATTAATTTTTCACCAACTTCAGTATGCCAGTATTAGTAACAACAGCTGCATAAAGAGTTAAGTGGGAGTTTAGATTCCAGAAGTTAAACTATGAACTCAAAAGCCTGGTTCTGCAGTTGGCACTGAGGCTCATTACTCAATCACCGTACCCGAATCCCGGCCATCTGCTGAGGCTGCAAAGTGAAGCAAAAAATCCTAACAAGAAATTGTATGTTGGCTAGGTCTCTCCTGATAAAAGATGAATATTGTTAATATCAACAATACTCAACCAAATACAAGATGCAGGAGCCCACATCATAAGTAGAGCCTCTGACTGACAAAAGAGGGTCAGGCACTTGGAACAGTTTAATAATTGAATAGGGAAATCAACAAGGCACTTTGAAAGAAATTAAGTGGGGAGCTGAGGCAGGAGAATCGCTTGAACGAGGGAGGTGGAGGTTGCAGTGAGCCGAGATCATGCCACTACACTCCAGCATGGTGACAGAGTGAGACTCTGTCTCCAAAAAAAAAAAGAAAAGAAAAGAAAAGAAATTAAGTGGGAGAGAGGATCAATTTTTTTTGCAGTAATAACTTACTTTATGATTGTCTTGTTAAAGTCAGGCATCAAATTGGGCATGTCTAAAGTGGCAATCTACATTCTGGCAGAATAATTACAAAGAAAAGTCACTTGATTTAGAAGGAACAAAGAATCAAATAATTTGCAGTTATATTTAATAATTTTGGTCATAGTTAAAAATTTTTAAATTCTATTTTTAAAAGATAATATTCTGGCCGGGCTCGGTGGCTCATGCCTGTAATCCCAGCGCTTTCGGAGGCCAAGGCAGGTGGATCACTTGAGGTCAGGAGTTCGAGCCTAACCAACATAGTGAAACCCCCATCTCTGCTAAAAATACAAAAAATTAGCTGGGTGAGGTGGCACACGCCAGTAGTCCCAGCTACTTGGGAGACTGAGGCACGAGAAAAGCCTGAACCTAGGAGGCAGCAGTTGCAGTGAGCCAAGATTGCACCACTGCATTCCAGCCTGGGCGACAGAGCGAGACTCTGTCTCAAAAGAAAAAAAAAGGATAATATTCTGATGTATCCTTCTTTTGTGCCATTTATGGTAAAAAATTTGGGTACCCACAATTGAATTCACTTATGGGTTTTTTTTTCATTCTCTTCAGGTGTGGCAGTTGGGTGGGCAGGGAGTAATTAACGTTTACTGAAATTATGCTACTTGGTGATCTCCAGGAATCATTTAGCAGGTGGTTTAAAATCCTCACATTTAATGCTGGTTGAGCAAGAGTGAACTGACTGTAATGACCCTTGGGAAGGTGAATTGGTTACAGACGTATAGTAACGACACTGTAAAGATAGTCCAGGCAGGAGATGACAGGTCTGGAGTAGAGTGGTAGCCGTGGCAAAGTGACATTTAATTTCCACGAAGACAGTTTTAAGGGAGACTGGGACATCGGAAGAAAAAAGGGGTGATGCAGAGCTCAAATCTGTACACGCTTGTTTGAGGTGATAGCAGACATCCAGATGAAGAAAACCAGCAGACAGGTGAAAATCTTAATCTAGGATGATTAGTCATGCTATGGATTCAGAGAAAGAAATGTGTTTTTTCATTACTTCATTAGGAATTGCACAATAAATCTCCTCCCCCATAATCACATGACTACTGACTTTTCAGCATGCAGGAGAAAAAGCAAATATTTCCACTGTTGAAAGGTTTTATTGGAGAAACTTGATGAATACAATGACTTCATGGCTTAGTGAAGACAACCACGGTGGTTAAAATACAGTGAACCCTCATTTAGCTGTATCCATTCAAAGTATTTGAGCATCTCCTATGTATAATGTCAATTTATTTGATGCTGGTTAAATGTGTAACAAGTTACTTAAAACCAACTGTAATACCAAAAAGTCATTGAACACACTTCTAAAGTATACTGCCTGAATAAAAGGTATCTATAAAAATTCCTTCCCTGTAGTATCTATATATTTAAGCTTACAAACTTAGCTGCTTTTCTACACACAACTGCAATTCTATATTAAAGCTTTGCAACTGCCTTAATCTCTACACTCTTTTTTTTTTTTTTCCCGAGACGGAAAAAAAAGAGTCTCGCTCTGTTGCCAGGCTGGAGTGCAGTGGCGCGATCTCGGCTCATCGCAACCTCCGCCTCCCGGATTCAAGCGATTCTCCTGCCTCAGCCTCCCGAGTAGCTGGGACTACAGGCATGCGCCAACACGCCCGGCTAATTTTTGATATTTTAGTAGGGACGGGGTTTCGCCATGTTGGACAGGCTGGTCAAACTCCTGACCTCAGGTGATGCGCCCGCCTCGGCCTCCCAGAGTGCTGGGATCACAGGCATGAGGCACCGCGCCCGGCCTATGCTCAAATGTTTCTTGGGCTGTTAAAGTACTGCTCCTCGCAGAAGGGCTATGTTCCCGGGATCTATTCTCTTCCGTACATTCATTCCTATCTTCATTAGAAAACATCTGACCTAAATAAATCCCCCATCGATGCTAACATCTCCTTCCGCGCAATTTTTTACTTTCTAAGTCAAATCAAAACAATTATTTGAGCGACTGCTCCTGTCTGCCATTAAGTCTTTCTGGCACCACCCTCCAGACATATATACAATATTGCTTCTTTCCCTCAAATCAGAAAGGACTGCATAGTTCCGGATCAAGGCATAAATGATGAATCATGACTGTCCATCCCCACCAACATACTCTGCAACATTATAATCTATTTACCTCTGCTTTGAAAATGTATTCTTTAAAGCACTGCTTCCAACTAGCCACTTAGCCAGTAACATTTTTGAGAAAAACAAAACACAACCCAAAACAATGTATATATTCCTGGGGGGAAGAGTTTCTAACTCAAAATACGCAGATAATTGTTTATTATTCTAAGGAACACCCTTCTGAAGAGGCCTGCAGTCGGTGGGGCTGTTTCTAATTTAAAACTACTTAGGTGAACCAGGAAGAATGTACATTTAAGGAGATACTTTTAGACGCAGATGCCTCGCGCAAGCCTAAAGCTCGTGTGGTAAGCGACACGACTAGGGGTTAAAAGCGGCTGGTTGGTAGGCCCGGGGCCGTGGCTCACGCCTTGTAAACCCAGCACTTTGGGAGGCTGAGGCGGGCAGATCACCTAAGGTTAGGAGTTCGAGACCAGCCTGGCAAATATGGTGAAACGCCGTCTCTACTAAAAACACAAAAATTAGCCGGCGTAGTGGCGCGCGCGCGCTCTCAGCTACTCGAGAAGCTAAGGCAGGAGAATCACTTAAACCCAGGAGGCGGAGGTTGCAGTGAGCCAAGATTGCGCCACTGCACTCCAATCTGGGCACAGAGTGAGACTCCGTCTCAAATAAATAAATAAAAGCAGCTAGTTACTTCTCATTCTTTTAACGAAACAAACAAAACTGAACTTTGCTGGGTGACAGGAGTGAAGCAAAGGAAAAAACGATAGTACAAGTTCGATTCGAATTCTTCCAGTCTTATGATTCGATCATCGCAGGAATACTGATAAAAATCTGCGTTTTTTCCAGGTTGACAACTTTTGCGAGGCCAGACTAAACGAATTCAGCGCTCCAAGGAGACTCCTCTTTCCTCTGCTTTCTCACATTTACCTCTCGCCTTTTACCTCCCAAAGTCGAACCCTCCAGGATCGTACAGGCGGTATTCCCTCTACCAAGCATTCTACTCCTCTGCAGATGCTGCAATCTTTACACTGGAACTAACACTTAGCTGTGGTGTTCCCCGCTTTCTTTACTCGGAGTAGCCCAGGCTCTTCCTCTCCAATCCACAATTTCCCTCCAATCCCCAGTTTCCCTCTTGGGCGCCTGGACGCGTGCCCAGCCGCAGCCTGGGAGACACCGCGCGGCTGCACGCACCATGCAGATGTGGTCCCTTTCCCCTTCTTCTTCTCCTCCCCAAAGAGGTTTTGTGCTGTGACTGGCTTGCCCCGGTTACTTACTCCAAGGTGTAGGGGTGAAGAACGGAAGAGGACGAAATAACTAGCTGGAGGCAGCAGTGTCAGCCGATGCCGGTGCCACGGCTCGAAACACCGGCGCCTCTCGCGGTGCTAAAAGGATGGGCGCGCACCCTCCTTCCGGCATCCGTAGAACCCCCGCCTTTGACCTAGCTTCAGGAGATTACTTTCCGGGTCAGCGTGCGTTTAGGGCGAAGACGGAGTTGTAAACTTCTTAAAATTCCTCTCTCGACACTTCGGTAATTCCTCTTTCGAGACTAAAGCTCTTTTTGTATGCGTGTGTGTCAAGCGTATGCCCCGGGATTCTCCTCCGCTTCCTTTTCTCGGTCTTCCTTCTTGCTTTAGGGACCGGAAGAGTCCTTGAACCAAAATAGCTCGGCGGGCACTTCCGGGGCCGGCGCCCAGAGTTCCGGGAGGGTGCAGGCAGGAGAGGGAAAGGCAGCAGCGGCGGCAGCTGGAGGATGAAGAAGGAGCATGTGCTTCACTGCCAGTTCTCCGCGTGGTACCCGTTCTTCCGAGGCGTTACCATCAAGAGGTGAGATGGGAGGGGGTTCGCCCGGTCGACCGGCAAAAGGGAACTGCGACTTCTGAGCGAATCTTACTGCTATCCAAAAAAATGCAGGCCTTCTAGCGACTGCATGGGAGGGAGTGTGTCGAGAGGGAAGTACATCAGCAATTGTCTGCGTCCTGTTGCGAGCCAGCGAGTGTGCTGGCTAGGAGGGTCAGTTGTGGTTTTCAGTGAGGGTCGGAGGCGGGAGGAATAGTGGATTAACCTAGTTTAGGCTTGGGAGTTCACCACCACTACTTTTAGAATGGCCCCAGGCGCAAGGTGATCACTGCCTAAGTGCACTCGGAGAATTAATTGCTTTTCGCCATCACCCCAGAGGATGGAGATTGGGAAGGTGAAAGGATACGTAATTACAGTTAGATACGAGAACAAGTTCACAGATATGTCGTACAGCATGGAGGCTATAGTTAATGACGATATACGTATTCTTGAAAAACGGAGAGTGGATGTTAGTGTTCTCACCACAAAAATAACTATGTTAGGCAATGCATTTGTTAGCTAAATTTATTCCACAGTGTATATATACTTAAAAACATCAGGTAGGCGGCAAGTATTAATATATACAATTTCATCTCTCAGTTTTTTTAAAGGCGTTGATAGAAAATCTGGGCTTTGCACTTAACTGATTTTCTGAGCCAACATTTCAGTAATTGCTGATTCATTATATGATGGTTTCATTCAATAAAGATCGGATATGTACTTGAAAATGTGTAACTGGCTTAGAATGGTTAAAATGTATAAGAAAAGTTTCAAGTTCTTAAATAGTATTGGAATGTGTGGTAGAACCTTAGATTCATTGTACTTAACAATTTCGCTTGTTAGCTTTGTAAGAGTAAAATACTTAGGAAGGCTTATTTGTAATCAGCAAATAGACATATTAAGAAAGAAAATTGAGTGGTTTATGAATAGAATTTAAAATTTTAAAGAGACTTTTAAGTTGCAAAGTTTCGCTTGAAATTGTTTAAAATTTAGTAGATTTTCAAACGTAATAAGATTTGTTAGAAGAAATTAAAAGCCTGAAGAACTAGATTTTTTTTTTTTGAGACAGAGTTTTGTTCTGTCGCCCAAGCTGGAGTGCAGTGGCAGCGATCTTGGCTCACTGCAAGCTTCCCTTCCCGAGTTCACGCCATTCTCCTGCCTCAGCTTCCTGAGTAGCTGGGACTACAGGCGCCCGCCACCACCCCCGGCTAATTTTTTGTATTTTTAGTAGAGGCGGGGTTTTCACCGTGTTAGCCAGGATGGTCTCGATTGCCTGACCTCGTGATCCGCCCGCCTCGGCCTCCCAAAGTGCTGGGATTACAGGTGTGAGCCACCGCGCCCGGCCAGAACTAGATTTTTGAATGTGAAATTGTACCTTTGATAAATCAAATATTTATTTTTAAAACCGAAGTTTTTGCTCTGTCGCCCAAGCTGGAGTGCAGTGGCAGTGATCTTTTATTTATTTAAAAATAAATAAAAATACTTATTTTTAAAACCGAAGTAGCCCATGAATACTCTTTTTTGTGCAAAAAAACCATTTGTAATGTGCCAAAAAAAACTTCTTCCATAAATAAATGAGACATGTTATAAGTCATTGATGTTCTGTTAACTTCGGGAAAGCAGGCTGTAATCTTTTCCACTTTTTGAAGATGTATATGCCTCAAAATCAAAATAATACCAGCACTCTTAGGGATCTGTGGTAGGGCTTTTTGATAATTTATTATTTCAAGGTAAAAAACAAATTATCCCATAAGTTTTTAAGAGACTTCAGGTATGGCTTTGCCATCCTTAATTATGATTACCTGAAACAAATTAAGCTAAAGCATGCCTAGTTTAAGCAGCTTTATATCTCTGGTGATCAGTTGAATAGAAAGCCAGCAAGACACATCCAAAAGTATCATGAATTCTTAGCGGTAGGTGCTCACTGCCAACCCAAGAATGGTTTCCAGATCTTGACTCTACTTCTGCCCTCTATCTTTAGAAGGTGACCAAATGCTAGTCATCTTCTAGTTGGGTTTGCTGCATTTCCTGTGTTGCAGCAAATATCTGCTGGTCTCTGATTTCTTAAAGACACATAAATGTTGTGCTCACTCAGAATCCTTTTGAGCTTGTTGCTTTCATACTGTGATTTCCATCTGGTGGTTTGGATTTGGCTGGTTTTTGTTTACTACAAAGACCATTGTGGCAATAAGATGAACCGCAGTAATCTTATTATTCTGATTTCTTGTCTACTGCTACCAAATGTACATCATTAACATTTTCTACTTTATATTAAAAGAAAGACAATTCCAAAATTAATCAAGTGTAGAGATTTTTCTCTCTGCTTATAGTTGGTCTTTTAAAATGATGCCTTTTTTGGTGTTTTTTTTTTAGTGTCATTCTTCCACTTCCTCAGAATGTGAAGGATTATTTACTCGATGATGGAACTCTGGTGGTTTCAGGAAGGTAAAGTATTTTAGAAAAAAATTTCTTAAACTTTATCATAAAGAAACACATAAAATGAATGAATTAGCTTAGGCACCATTCTTTCCCTTTAGCTCTTTTTCTCTCCTAGCCAAAATGATGTGCTGATCTTTGTCTCATATTCCTTCTCAATGTTCACTTAATATTTTCAACATTAAGTACTTTTCCCTCTAATAATTACAAGTTGTGAAATTGAGCAGTTCCTTTCATCTCTGTCTTTAGAAAACAGTTATGATGACAACTTTTCCTTCTGACGGTAGCAGGGTGGGGGAAGTACATATTAAAATTCTTTGAGATCCTTCAGTTTTGACGATTAAAAATTCACTGTTGCAAACAGGCTTTATCATCTAATTCCTCAACATTTTCTTCCCCACGATTGAACTACCGTGGCCCCCCCTCCACTTTCTAGAAGCTGTTCAGGTAGTTTCCCTATTTATAGAATAAAGGGAAGAAGTTACTGTGTTTCAGTCTTTTGGATGCAAACTTGAAAACGTTGAAGAATCATAGGATTTAGTGAAGTTCTCATTTTTTAATTCGAGTCTGCTCAGAAGTCACGTTATGAGTGTTCAGCCCTCACCAGCCTTTCTAAAATAGCCTGACAGTAACCCTATGCCCTGACCTCCCTTCATTTTTCTGCATAACACTTACTTCCACCTGACAATTGTTAATTGTTCCATTAGAATGCAGTTTCATGAAAACAGGGACTTGGCCCATTTGTTCACCCCAGCTCATGGAACAGTGCCTGATATAGCAGAAGTGCTTGATAAACATTTGTTGGATGAAGGAACTATAGAAATACAGTAAGAATTGTGTGTTTTCAGTACTACTAACTGGACCCCATATTTTTGCCTGTTGGGTTTTTAGTGTGGTTTTCTGGATTATATTTCTGTTTTTGGTATTCACAGAGCCTCAATAACCTGAAAATTATTAATGTAGCGCCTCATTAACTTTGAATAATTTGAGGCTGAGGAAACAGTAGGAAAGTCAGATAAGTCTCAACTTTAGGATATTTACAGATATAATTTTTTTTGTTTTGTTTTTCTTTTGAGACAGAGTCTCGCTCTGTCACCCAGGCTGGAGTGCAGTGGCGTGATCTCAGCTCACTTCAAGGTCTGCCTCCCGGGTTCACGCTATTCTCCTGCCTCAGCCTCCAAGTAGCTGGGACTACAGGCGCCCACCACCACGCCTGGCTAATTTTTTTTATTTTTAGTAGAGATGGGGTTTTACTGTCTTAGCCAGGATGGTCTTGATCTCCTGACCTCGTGATCTGGCTGCCTCGGCCTCCCAAAGTGCTGGGATTATAGGCCTGAGCCACCGCACTCGGCATTTTTTTTTTTTTTTTTTTTTTTAAAGATGGAGTCTTGCTCTGTCAGCCAGGCTGGAGTGCAGTGGCTCAATCTCAGCTCACTGCAATCTCTGCCTCCCAGGTTCAAGTGATTTTCTTGCTACAGCCTCCCAACTAGCTGGGACAACAGGTGTGCGCCACCACATCCAGCTAATTTTTGTATTTTTAGTAGGGATGGGGTTTCACCATGTTGGCCGGGCTGTCTTGAACTCCTGACCTCAGGTGATCCACCTGCTTCAGCCTCCCAAAGTGTTGGGATTACAGGCGTGAGCCACTGTGCCCAGTCAGTTTTATTCTCAAATACGTGTACCTATTTGCTTTATAAATGAGCTTATATATAATAAGCTTATGTAAATGAGACTATAAGTAAAATAGCTTTTAATATTAGAAAATAATTGGTAAATCTCAGTAGTGTAAACATGTTGAAGAGCTCCTATGATGATTCTCCCTGGCCAGATGTTTGCATGGCCTGTGGCTTAGGCAAGCACTGATGTTAAATACTGTTAAACAGGGCTGGGCGCGGTGGCTCATGCCTGTAATCCCAGCACTTTGGGAGGCCGAGTTGGGTGGATCACCTGAGGTCAGGAGTTCAAGACCAGCCTGACCAACATGGTGAAACCTCATCTCTACTAAAAACACAAAAATTAGCCGGGCATGGTGGTGGGCACCTCTGATTCCTACTACTCGGGAAGCCGAGGCAGGAGAATTACTTGAACGCAGGAGGTGGAGGTTGCAGTGAGCCGAGATCATGCCATTGCGCTCCAGCCTGGACAACAAGAGCTAAACTTCGTCTCAAAAAAAAAAAAGTACTGTTAAACAACACGATACAGTGCTTTACAGTAACCCACAAATCACATAGGGACCCTGCCCTTTTGGAGTTGACAGTTCAGCTTCATATTTGTGAAAGCCAGCATGGCATGGTGCTGTTTCTTTAGTCAGATTGCTTAATTTTAAGTAATATCTTTGCTATTTTCTAGCCCTTCCCTCTGTGCCTCAGTTTCCTTGTCTGAATATTGGGCAAATGACAGTATAGAACTTACTTTGTAGGGTCATTGCAAAGATACAAAGTGATAATACATAAAATGTTCAGTCTAATGCCCACTATATTGTATGCTCTTAAAACATGGAACTACTTTTATTATCATTGATCTAAGATGAACATAGCAAACACACAAGAGAATATATAATGAAAATTGGGATAAGTGCTATGCAGAAAGTGGGGTGGTCATTACCCTTAAATTGCTGGGAGAGCTGAGGATCGCGAGGAGGGTCGGGGAATGCTCCGAAGAAGGATCTTTGGAGCCTCTGAGATGTGAAGATTGGAGGAATGTAGTCAGTTGAAGGGTGAAGGGAAGAATCTTCCAGGTGGGGGGAACAGCATTAATGAAGGCTCTAGGCCTGGAAGATCTTGACATACAAGAAGCTTGGGAAAGGTCATGTAGCTAGAGTATGGGGAGTGAGAGAAGGGTAAGTGGCATGAGATTCACAGTTGATGACATGGGGGAGGACAGTTAAGATTAGGGGTGTGTGTGGGAGTCATGTTAAAGATGCTGCAATTTATTCTGAGAACGTCAGGAAGGCATTGAAGGGCTCTGAGCAAGAGAATGACTCGATCAGATTTCAGTTTGCAGCTGTGGCAGGTGACTGTGGAAATGGAAGACGGGTTAGGAGGATATTGCATTTGACTGGGTGAGACCTGCTAGTGGCTTGAACTAAGATGGTGACAGTGGGGTTGAGGGAGGAAGTGGGTTTCAGAAGATTGGGAGCTTGCACCTTCAGAACTTGATGACAGGAATGTGTCAAGAATTCCTCTCAGATTACTAATAGAACAACTAGATGAATGAAGATGGTCATTTGCTCAGGTTGAGAGAAGCATTGTCTGTGGAGCCTTTTTGAAACCTCACAATCTGTTGAGAATTTTGAAAAGTTAGTGATTTTAGGTTAGGTTACTTCTACAGATAAAAACTTGAAAATTTTAAGTATAATTTAAATGAGGTACATTTATGATAAAATGTATAGGTCTTAAGTGTACAACTTGGCGAATGTTGCTAAATGGTTACACCTGTTTCACCGTCACTCCATTCAAAACATGGAACACTTTCATTCCCCAGAAAGGTTTCTCTTGTCCCTTTCTTAGTTCAGTTTCGTCAGTTCTAGAATTTCGTATAAGTGGAGTTATATAGTATGTATTCTTTTATGTCTGTGTAAGTGGAAAAAATGCAAACCGTTTTTCCTCTGCTCTCACACCACAACAATCAACACAGAAGACCTCTGTGACCACATGTGTGGGGTTTTCTTCCCACCAAGAAGCAATCGGTTCTGCAGCAGACACCAGCTAAGGGTCCTCCAGTCCAATTCAGTTGACACTGTCTACCTGGAGGAGCATCAGATCCCACAGGTTGAGGCTCAGTCTCACAAAGACTGCCCCCCACTCTGATGTCAGCTGCAAGCCCCAGGTGCCTCTACCTGTGCAACTGACCAGGCGGCTAGAAATGAGGGTCCCTCCTTGGGTTTGATTCATTTGCTAGAGCAGCTCGCAGAACTGAGGGAAACATTTACTTCGGTTTACCGGTTTATCATAAAGGATGTTACAGCCCTGGTGTGGTGGCTCACGCCTGTAATCCCAGCACTTTGGGAGCCCAAGGCGGGCGGATCACTTGAGGTTAGGAATTTGAGACCGGCTTGGCCAACATGGCGAAACCACATCTCTACTAAAAATACAGAACTTAGCCAGACGTGGTGGCGCACTCCTGTAATCCCAGCTACTCAGGAAGCTTAGGTAGGAGAATCACTTAAACCTGGGAAGTGGAGGTTGCAGTGAGCTGAGATCGCACCATTGCACCCCAGCCTGGGCGACAGAGCGAGACTCCGTCTCAAAAAACCAAACAAACAAAAATAAAGGATATTAATAATGGATACAGATGAAGAGATGCGTAGGGTGAGGTGTAGGGGAAGGGATGCAGATCTTCCATGCCCTACCTACACGTGCCACCTTCCAGAAGCTCCATGTGTTCAGCTATCCGGAAGCTCTTTGTACTTCACAAGAAAGTGGGAGATGGCTGTGGAGGTCTGCCATGGACCCTAATTCTTCATGCCTCATCCTCCATTACTTCCACATATAGTACATGCCTTTCTTTCCAGACTCTATAAGGTATAGTCTTGTTTACAGTTAGAATTTAGCACATAGTCTGGGTTCAATAAATATTGGTTGAATGAGTGAATGAACATGCTTATCCTACTTTCTCTCCATGGTAACCTCTACTGAGTTCAGTGAATAGAATAGGCCAAGTATGATGACTAGTTTACCTTGTTTGCCGACTCAGATCTAATGGTAATGGTTTCCTGGAGTGATATGTAGAGGATTCTGAGGCTGCATCCAGGGTTCGGTGAGAAAGCATGCTTGGTTTGATTCTCGTTGCCTGCTGTGGGTGTAGGAAAGGAGGCTGGCAATGTGCTTTTCTGATAGAGACAGTGATTCAATTTCACTGAACAGTTATTGCATGCCTAGTATGAGATGGGCACCAAGGAAACGGGCACCAAGCTTGATACTAGCGTAACAAGATGAGCAGGGCATCCTACCGTAGGAGTCTAGGCTTATTAGCAAGTCAAACATAAATAAATAAATAAATGTCTTGAGTTGTGTTGCGAAAAATGTTTTTGAATAAAAGCATCAACCAGCTGTGGTGGCTCATGCCTGTAATCTAGCACTTTAGGAGGCGGAGGTAAGAGGATCACTTGAGGCCAGGAGATGGAGACCAGTCTGGCCAACATAGTGGGGCCCCATCTCTACAAAAAAATAAGAAATTAGCTGGGCGTGTTGGCACACACCTGTAGTCCCAGCTGCTCAGGAGGCTGACACACAAGGATGGCTTGAACCCAGGAATTGGAGGCTGCAGTGAGCTATGATCATGCCTCTGCACTCCAGCCTGGGCAACAGAGCAAGACCTTGTCTCAAAAAAAAAAAAAAAAAAGTATCAGGTATTCTGATAAGTAATGTATTTGGGGTTTAATTAATCACTGTGAGCTGGGGTCATCCAGAAAGTGTTTACAGTAAGGTGATACTTGAACTGAGCCCACACACTGGGTCTGACGCAGGTGGTACCTCCCTTCCAGGCACTAATCCTCATTGTTTCTTCTTGGTCACGAGTTCTTTCCTGACCTTGTCTCCCTTAAGGCTGAATAGTAAAATGAGTTGAGCATCCCTAATTAGAAAATCTGAAATCTGTCCAGATGGGTGCTGAGATAGTGACATTTTTGCTTTCTGAATATTGTATAAAATTACCTTTGAGCCATGTGTATAAGATGTATGTGACACTGACACATAAATGATTTTTTTAAATTTTTTAATTTTTAGTTTTTGTGGGTACATAGTGTACATATTTATGGGGAACAAGAGATGTTTTGATCCAGGAATGCAATGTGACATTAGCACATCGTGGAGAAAGGGGTGTCCATCCCCTCAAGCATTTATTCATTAAGTTGCAAACAATCCAATTACAGTCTTT
This sequence comes from Homo sapiens, assembly GCF_000001405.40. Lineage (NCBI taxonomy): Eukaryota > Metazoa > Chordata > Mammalia > Primates > Hominidae > Homo > Homo sapiens. Next base: position 12,204,645 of record NC_000010.11, read on the forward strand.
ATTTTTAGATGTACAGTTATTATTGACTATAGTCACTCTATTGTTCTGTCAAGTAGTAGGTCTGTGGTCGGGTGCTGTGGCTCATGCCTGTAATTCCAGCACTTTTGGAGGCTCAGGTGGGCAGATCACCTGAGGTCAGGAGTTCAAGACCAGCCTGGCCCAACATGGTGAAACCCCGTCTCAACTAAAACTACAAAAATTAGCTGGGCATGGTGGCAGGCGCCTGTAATCTCAGCTGCTCAGGAGGCTGAGGCAAGAGAATCACCTGAACCTGGAAGATGGAGGCTGCAGTGAGCCGAGATCGTGCCACTGCACTCCAGCCTGGATGACAGAGTGAGACTCCATATCAAAAAAAAAAAAAAAAAAAAAAGGTCTTATTCATTCTTTCTACTTTTTTTGGTACTCATTAACCCCCACCTCCTCACAGTCCCCTACTACCCTTCACAGCCTTTGCTAACCATCTTTCTACTCTCTATATCCATGAGTTCAATTAGTTTTTAGATCCCACAGATAAGTGAAAACGTGGTGTTTGTCTTCCTGTGCCTGGCTTACTTCACTTAACATAATGATCTCCAGTTTCATCCATTTTGTTGCAAACGACTGGATCTCATTCTTTTTTAATGACTGAATAGTACTCCATTGTGTATATGTACCACATTTTCTTTATCCATCATCAGTTGGTGAGCACTTAGGTGGCTTCCAAATCTTAGCTATTGTAAACAGTGCTGCAACAAACAGGAGTTTACGTTTAGACTTGGGTCCCATCCCTAAGATATCTCATATATATGCAAATACTCCAAAATCCCAAACACTTTTGACCCCAAGCATTTTGGATATAGGATCCTCAACCAGTAGATGCCAATTATAAAATACATTAGGCATATTCATATTTTGATTCTTCACAATTCTGTGAAGTAGTTGCTATTTTCCCAGTTTTATAGATGGCATATTGATGCAAAGTTCTTGGCTGACAGTGGCAGAACTGAGATATTTAAACTCTGTCTGCCTGCCTCTAGAGCCACTGCTCTGGTGTGCCAGCTCTGTGTAAGTTGTAATATAGAAAATATAGCATCCTAAATATTAGCACCATACTTTATCCATTTAGTTCTCTGCATGCAGAGGGTTACCTTAGAAAGCCAAGTCTAATAAACTTTCACTTTTTTTTTTTTTTTGAGGCAGAGTCTCACTGTGTCACCTAGGCTGGAGTGCAGGGGCACGATCTTGGCCCACTGCAACCTCTGCCTACCGGGTTCAAGCGATTCCCTTGCCTCAGCCTCCTGAGTAGCTGGGACTACAGGTGCCTGCGACCACGCCCAGCTAATTTTTTTTGTATTTTTAGTAGAGATGGGGTTTCACTATTTTGGCCAGGCTAGTCTTGAACTCCTGACCTCATGATCCACCCGCCTTGGCCTCCCAAAGTGCTGGGATTACAGGCGTGAGCCACCGTACTTGGCCAAACTTGCATATTTTTATACATTGTCACCTTTTACAGTGAATAAAATTTGTCATACTTTACAGTAGGCACTGCAATAATTTCTGAAGAACTATATGAATACCTTGATAACAAGTATGTTTTTTAAAATGTATGTTGTTATACTAACAAATATGGTAAGTGATTTTTAGAGTGGTAGAATACATTTTCATATTTCATCTTATATTGTAAGATTAGGTAAGCAGCCATGTTAAAGATAATGTTGCATTTGAAAATATTATGTGGCATTTAAAGAGAGACGTAAGAGAGAAAGGCTGGCCCCTTGGGCAGGGATTCACACGCTGACAGTGTGTTAGTATTTCCACTATAGAACAGTTCTTAGCTTTGACTGGTTCTTAGCTTTGTGAATCTGGAAAAGCAAGAATTACAAAGAGTTGATTAAAACTTGGGGAAGGCCGGGTGCAGTGGCTCATGCCTGTAATCCCAGCACTTTGGGAGGCCAAGGCGGTTCGATTATCTGAGGCCAGCAGTTTGAGACCAGACTGACCAACATGGCGAAACCCCATCTCTAGTAAAAATACAAAAATTATCTGGGCATGAGGTCAGATGCGGTGGCTTATGCCTGTAATCCCAGTGCTTTAGGAGGCCAAGGAGGGCGGATCACAAGGTCAGGAGATCGAGACCATCCTGGCCAACACGGTGAAACCCCATCTCTACTAAAAATGCAAAAAAATTAGCCGGGTGTGGTGGCGGGCGCCTGGAGTCCCAGCTACTCGGGAGGCTGAGGCAGGAGAATGGCCTGAACCCGGGAGGTAGACCTTGCAATGAGCTGAAATCACGCCACTGCACTCCAGCGTGGGCAACAGAGCGAGACTCCATCTCAAAAAAAAAAAAAAAAAAAGATTGGAAGCATTATTGTATCCATTTTTGCCCATTTAAGGTATTTTTTCTCCATTTATTGTGTTAAGTACTTGGTGAGCCCTTTCATTCTAAAGACTTTAATTTTCCTGTTTCAGGATATTAAAAAAGAATCTTTGATAATTTCCTCTAATTTCTTGCTTCTCTTTCTGGATCTCCTATTATTTTGGTGTTTGATCTTTTGGCTTAATTCTCTGAATTTTATTATTTCTTCTCTATTTTCTCTTTCCGTGTCTTTTTTGTTCTACTTTGTAGGTAATTATTTTTCCATTCTATTGAATTTTAAAATTTCAACTATCATGTTTTCAGTGTCTACAAGTTCCTCTGTTCCTTTTTTATAGCCTCCTGTTCTTCCTTAATGGATGTGACATCTTTTATATTCGAGGATATTAATGATTTTTAAAAATATCTTTCATCTGGTCCCTTTATTGTCTTTTTTTCTTCCATGTCCCTTTTTTCTCTCCTTTTTGAAAACGTTTTTCATCTTGGAGTTTTTTGTCTGTTTTCTAATCATTGTAGGCCTTCCTTCATATTTAAGAGTGAGGAGGACACACACAGATATTTGCAAACTTTGTGTACCTGGGTGGAGCTTGATGCCTGAGGATGCCAGCAGGCAGCAAACATTGATGGAAGATTCCCAGATAATGGTGTGTCCTCTGGGGTTGCTCAGTTTCTGCCCAGAAGAATCCTTTAATCTGTCTGTGTTGTGGGAGCAGGGTGGGAGGAAGGGGACTAGGGGTCGCAGTGTTCAGTTTGACTTTCACATAACTTGTCATCATAGTCCAGGTCCAGCATTTCACCCCCATATTCATTTGGGCCATTATGTACCTCAACCCTCTTGAGTTCATTTTTTCCAGAGAATAAATCTGCTTACCAAAGGGGCTGAGGAGAATTAGTTGCTAGGATGTGCAAGGTAAGGAGATGGATATGTCTCGCTGCTCCCTGGATGGACTTCAGAGCTTCCTTTCCATGTTCCAGGATAACTCTTAAGTTCTAACCTGTTGCTCCTTGGCTTATTCCTCCCCTTGACTTTCTGTTTTCCAAACTTTTGTTGCCCTCTTTCTTCTATGGTTGATTCCTTTTCACTCAGCATTGTCCTTGGGATCTTTTTTTTAGTAGAGTTTCCAGAGGGAACACAGAGATAAAAGCACATGTTTAACCAGAATCTTCCTTTTCCTTTTCTTTCTTTAGTCTTTGCATAGCTGCTATGCTAGTTTTTATGATTATTTTTCTCAATGATATGAGTTATTCCTAGGCTAGTTATTTGTAGTTGTGTGTTGAGGAGGGGCCAGAGTGGTGTTCTGAGTCTTCCCTCTGAGTTCTTTCAGCCTCTGATTCCCTCTAGGCAATGAAGATGGGCTGCTGGGTGGCCCTTTTCAGCCCTTGTGTTGCAGGTGAGCAGTGACTATTTGGGGCCAATGGTGTGGGTGGTAAGAAGAATTTACCATGACAGTTGGAGGCAGAGAAAGGCAAATTTATTAGAGAAAGTGTGAAAATATGTTGCAAGGGTACAATGGGCAGGTCAGCAAGAAAGGAGCTGACTGCAGGGAGACAGAGGCTTGCTGGGGATTTTATAAGATGGTACTTGTGCTGTGTCCTGAAGAGGGCTTTGTGCAGCGCTGATAATGCCAAGGTTGCAGTGAGCTCACTTGCATTTTTCTGTCAATTGAGGGTGCGGTAATAGCTGGGCATGGAAAGATAGTGAGTTACTTGCGCAGGAGGGCTGTGTGTCCTGGACCATGAAGAAAGGCAGACTTACAGCTTATCTGCCTTGTCTTTTTGCTTTCTTCTGCTCCCGCCAGTCCAACTCCTCTTCCCTAATGAGGACTGCACACCTCGCTTTGCTTCTGCCTTCTTCAAAGACAGCATGCCTGTTTATTTTCCCCTCTCTCTCTCACCCTTTGCTGTGGTTCAGTCTAGATGCAGAATGAATTTCTGACACCAGCCCGCACACCCTGTTTTCACTGTGCAAAGAAAAGATTCTTGGTTTTGCCCCCACAGTAGTTCCATCATCTGTGTAGACAGGTCTTCAGACATTCGCTTCTGGTGTCTTCCTTTATCCTATTCCATCTTTCCTTTCTTGAGAGAACTTTCTCATATACTGAGGTTCAGAGTCTAGATGATTCTCAGTATTATCAGCAATGGAGTCTTTTTTTCCCTTTCCCTTGTTTTTAATGATATCTGAGAACAGGACAGAAAGGTTTTATTCTGTCATCTCTTCATGCAACTGTACTCTCATTTATTTATTTCTTCTTTTTTTGAGACGGGGTCTCACTCTCTTGCCCAGGCTATAGTGCAGCGGTGTGATCTTAGGTCATTGTAGCCTCAAACTCTTGGGCTCAAGGGATCCTTCTGTGTCAGCTTCCTGAATAGCTGTGACCACAGGTGTTCTCCTTCACACCTGGATAATTTTTAATTTTTTTGTAAAGACAGAGTCTCTGTGTTACCCAGGCTGGTCTCAAACTCCTGGGCTCAAGCAATCCTCCCATCTCAGCCTCTCAAAGTGCTGAAATTACAGGTGTGAGCCACCATGACTGGCCTTGTTCTTCAATTTTAAGGCTTTTATTTTTATTTATTTATTTTTGAGACAGTGTTTTACGTTGTCACCCAGGCTGGAGTGCAGTGGCACGATCTTAACTCACTGCAGCCTCGACCTCCCATGTTCAAGTGATCAGTCCTCCCACCTCAGCCCCCCAAATAGCTGGGACTACAGGCGCATGCCACCTCGCCCAGCTAATTTCTGTGTATTTTGTAGAGACAGGGTTTTGCCATGTAGTCCAAGCTGATCTCTACCTCCTGACCTCAAGCGATCCACTCACTCAGCCTGCCAGAGTGCTAGGATTACAGGTGTGAGCCACCACACCTAGCCTAATTTTAAGGCTATTTAAAAACATATACTCAGTACCCCTGAAATTAGGAGCATGCGGTGCCCAAGTCCTTTTCTTTCTTGATGTTTGTTTGTGTTTTTTTAGGGATGATCCACCAACACATTCTCAGCCAGACAGTGATGATGAAGCAGAAGAAATACAGGTTGGTACCAAATAAAATAATCTGTTCTGTAGACTGTTGTAATTTAAATGATCTCTGAGATGGTTCTGACTTGTAGATCTTATCTTACATCTGATAAAATGAGAAATTACGTGAGAATCTTACTTTGACATATATTTTCACATATGCTGTATTCCGGAAAAGATGTCTCCTGTTTGATTTATAATTTTTAGATGGAGCACTGCTTTTTGAAGCCCAGTGCAGTATTTAAATTTAATGTTTTATTTTTTTCCTCTTTTTCATGCAGTGGTCTGATGATGAGAACACAGCCACGCTTACGGTAAGAGCACAGCAGACTCAGCGTGGGGACAGCCTCACACTGTCACACAAGGGTTAGCGTCAAGGTTTAAGTGCATACCTCTCTTAAATTCCTAGTCAGTCACCATCTCATATATTATTTTCCCTGTGGGCTGTCGTTTTTATTTTGAAAAATAACTTGAAGCATCATTTAGCAGGCAAACATGATTTGCCCTTTTTCCCTTTGATTGCAAAGGAAATATTTCGAGTGCGTATTTGATGCCTTGACTTCTGTTAAGCTCTGACTCTCTGCAAGAAGGAATTACGCCTAACATTAAACTCTGAGATTCCTAAATCTCTGGAACATAAAGTGAAAATCTGTATTTCCTTATTCAAGTATATTTATTTAGTTAGTTAGTTGTTTTGTGTATTTATTTTTGAGACAGATTCTTGCTCTGTCGCCCAGGCAGGAGTGCAGTGGTGTGATCTTGGCTCACTGCAACCTCCGCCTCCCAGGTTCAAGCTATTCTCCTGCCTCAGCCTCCTGAGTAGCTGGGATTACAGTCACCTGACACCATGCCCGGCTAATTTTTGTATTTTTAGTAGTGACAGGGTTTCACCATGTTAGCCATGGTAGTCTCGAACTCCTGACCTCATGTGATAACACCCGCCTCGGCCTCCCAAAGTCCTGAGATTACAGTTCTGAGCCACAGCACCTGGCCTCAAGCGTATTTAAATGGCATAAAAATTACTGTTTCTTTCAAGCGAGAGTAGAGAGGTATGTGACTTTTACCAGTGTTTTACATAAAAATGTAGAAGTTATCAAGCATATTACAGTGTTTCAGGATAAGAGTGCTGTTGTGAAAGTTAACCTAAAATTTTTTAAATGAAGGTATTTTTAAAGGAGTGAGTGAAGCAAATGATCTATTTCTAAAAATAGGTGAATGAAACTCCTCATACCTTGAGTTGACGGGAAAGTTTTTAGTGAAACTCCTTACAAGTAAATGTAAAGGCAGAAATACAGAAAACTAGTTTTGTGGGAGGGTCTGTTCTAATCCAGCTCTAGATAAGAAGATACTTGTTTATTTTAATGAACAAGATATGATTGCCAGGATAGAAGAAAAAAAAAGAAGTGGAGCTGCTCAAAACTGACATATTTCTTTAGATTTAAAAAGGGAAGCCTGCCAGCAGGTGCCTAAGTGGAAAGTTTGCGTGTTTCATTTACTCCAGATGCCATTCAGATCACTCTCCTTTTATGAAAATTCCATTCAGTGTCATGTAAATGTTACTTATCTGCCATACTCAGGGCACTAAACTAGATTCCGTGAGATGAACAAAGATGAATATGATTTCATTTCCACCATTAGGGGTTTGTAAACCAGTGGGAAAGGTGACACAGGCAGGGGGAGATGACAGTGCTGTCAGATCAGAGACAGCAGTTACAGCTGAGGGCACCAGAATGCCTGACAGGACAAGTGGTATCTGACCTGGATTTTAATAGTGGTGGGGAGTATCAGTATCAACTCATTTTTAAATATGTATAGATGGGCCTGGCGCGGTGGCCGATGCCTGTAATTCCAGCACTTTGGGAGGCCAAGGTGGGTGGATTACTTGAGGACCAACATGGTGAAACCCCGTCTCTACTAAAAACACAAAAAGCTAGCCAGGCATGGTGGTAGACGCCTGTAATACCGGCTACTTGGGAGGCTGAGGCAGGAGAATTGCTTGAACCCAGGAGGTGGAGGTTGCAGTGAACCAAGATTGCGCCACTGCACTCCAGCCTGGGTGACAGAGAGAGACTCCGTCTCAAAAAATAAAATAAAATAAAATAAATATGTATAGATGATAGATACAGCAATTAATAATATAAAGGTGTGTGTGTGTATTTACCAAACTCTGCTCACTAAGAAGTTTTAGAATCAATGACATGTAACATCCTGGTAGCAGTGAGCACGCCTGATGCCTTGATCTTGGTTTCTAAATACCATTCTCCACTAAACAAAATTGAAGCTTCTTGGAGATATTCTGGACTGGGATTGGGAAAGTAAAAATGAGCCTGCAACAACTTGTGCCAGAAACTGTGGAAGTGCTGAAACAATGATGTGACATGACAAAAAGATGCCAGAAGCTAGCTTTGGGCTCTCACTGTCTAAAAATATGAGCATCATAACAAATAGAGTTTGAGTATTCTTAATCCCCAAATTCAAAATTGAAAATGCTCCAAATTCCAAAACTTTTTAAAAAGACTGACTATCACTGTGTTGCCCAGGCTGCACTCAAACTTCTGGGCTCAAGTGATCCTTCTGCTTCAGCTTCCTGAGTAGCAGGTACTGCAGGTGTGTGCCAGCATGCTTAGCTCCCAAAACTTTACGAGCACTAACATGACACCACAAGTGGAAAATTCCACACCTGACCTCATGTGACAGGTACAGCCACAATGCAGGTGCACAACCCAGCTCATTCAGCCTCCCCAAGGGAAAAATGAAATTACCTTCAGGCCGTGTGCATAAGGTGTATATGAAACGTAAATGACTTTTGTGTTTAGATTTGGGTCCCATCCCCATTATGTATATGCAAATATTCTGAAATCCAAAACACTTCTGGTCTTACCCATTTTGGATAAGGGATACTCTATGTGAAGTATAAGAATAGGTTATGACCTATTGACTAAAATAAGAATTGCTGATCCCATAGTGACATACATAAGTGATTAAATAAGTGGGGAAAAAAGGAAGCTTGTCTTTATAGTACTAAAGGCACTAACTAATACATGTAGTAGGAATGATGGAATTAGGAATTACTATTTGGCAACCATTGTAATAATATTTGATTGAATAGATGCTAAAATTAGTGGGTGAATATACAGTGAGAAAGAGGATAGTTCCATCTTTTCTAAGTATCTTCACCCAAATTACTTACTGTTTGCGCAAAGAAAAATAGTAATGTTACAATGCAAAGACCTGGCAGCCAAGTGATCAGTATTAACCTTGTCAGTGATGGGACAGACCTGTCATGTGTGCCTCCTGATACGATGCATGGGAAGGACACCACCTGTCACAGCTGCGCAGCCTGAGTCTGCTTGGGAGGAGACATCCAACAGACTCAACTTTTAGAAATTGTATAGAGTAGTTGCCCTGAACTTTTCAAAAACGTCAAGGTCATAAATGGTAAGAACAACAGAGAGAGGAACTGCCACAGATTGAAGAAGATTAAAGGGACCTGACAACTAGATTTAGTCCATGATTCTGGCTAGACTGGATGCCTGGACCAGAAAAAAAGTTTCAGTTTTTTTTTTTTCTGTAGAAGACGTTACTAGGACACTTGGCAAATTTTGAATAAGATCTGTATTGTGTCAGTGTTAGTTCCGTGATTTTGATAGATAATTTATAGAAAATGGTAAAATCATGACTCATATAAAACTCTTTAATGCGTGTTGAAGATGTTATTTAACTCATGAGGGAACCAGACAGATTGTTAGAACTGGTTCAAAAGAGAATCCAAAGAAAAGATATATTTTTAGATCAGGAATATTGAAATGAGTATGTAAATGAGGCAAAACTGGTTTTGCCTCCCTGCAGTATGGGAGAAAAGACAATTGGACCTCTTCCAGATGAGATAGAAATTGCCTGTCCGTAAGAATTAGTTCATGTCACTATCACTTACCTAGAATTTGCCAAGTTGTAAAGTAGCTCACAGACCTGGCTAAAAACAGATAACCTAGAAGGTTGTGCTGTATGTAAACAGTACATAGTCTTCCACTTAAGACTGTGCATAAACTTTTTATAATTTAAATTTGTTTTAGGATTCTTATGGCAGGTTATCCTAAAGTTGAATAATTTTGAGGATTTGAGGGGACTGATCACATCTTTTAAAAGGCATACATGAAAAGTAATCCTTAGATGTCAAGCTTTATGGGATAGGAAAATTAAATTGCTTTGTCTTTGAAAGTTGAATTCTTTCCCGTTGTAAAGTTTGTGCAACAATGCCGTTCATAGGAAATACTGCCAGTGCCCATCTCACAGAAGTGGGGTTTATGGCTAGAGCGGTAGGGGAGCCAAGTCAGCCGCTTCAGGCAATTATAAGGAAATGCCCTCACATAAATCATAATTGCTTTGGATGGGGAGAGATGAATGGAAAATAAAGGACTCAGTGCTGCTGTTCATTTTGAAAACCTCTCTAAATTACTCTAGTCTCATTTCATGTATCTAAGCTGAAGTCGTCTAGTGGAAGATAGATAGTTATTAACCAGTCTAGAGGTCAGATTTATCTGTAACAGAAAGAAAGGCAGCCTAATTGGACCTTAAGCTCTCGTTTTTATTCCCTAGCCTTTTGCTCAAAGCTGTTTCTTGTTTTGGGGGATATATGACCATGTTTTAAAACTCATTTCTTTGGTCTTTTCTCAGACTCTTGTCACAGTTTTTTCTCTCGCATAGCTGGGTTAGATCTTGGGGATCCACATAACTATTTGATGTCATCTTGGAATGTGTAGTTTAGTTAATTCAAGATGTAGTCTGTCTTTTTTTTTTCCTAGGGAAGAAGTTGATTACTGGATTTTTTCAGAACTTATAGTTGCCCGATAGGGGGCAGCAATCCTCTTTACAGGGTATAAATGAAAATTAATGACTGCGTGGAGAATCTGTTAATGTTTTTGTTTTTTTATGTCTCTTGAGGGCCCTACTTCCCCCTCTCTTACTTACCTTTTTTTCTTTCTTATGTCCATAAGCTCCTGTGATAGTGACCTAGGCTCAAGGCAGGACATAATGACATCAGGCTTAAGTTCCTGTTTAACAGCAGTATTTCTATTCACTTCCGGGTCGAAACAAACACAGAACGTTTTGGTCACTAGCTTATATAAAATATGCATTTTAAAAATCATCCAAACAGGAAAGAACGTTTTACCTTGACTAAGGTTCACATTTTGAGTTTTGCTTGTTTTAAAACTTGTCTGGAAATAGCAGTGTTTAAATACAGTTTGCCACATCATTTATTTTTCATTCTCTCCGTGGCTTTGGGGAATACCATATGGCTAAGACTCTTCCTGCAAGTGGAAGGGCTTCTAGCTCTTCAAGTAGGGATGTTATTTCTGACAACTAGAGTATTGCTACAGGTGATATTCCACCTGTCTATTTTCTCTTGATGAATGCTGGTTTTATGTCGGTGTACAGAGAACCATTCACTCCTTCCTCACATCCTCAGAAGCCTAGTGACTTGTGTCATTTCAGCTTTGCAGGCTTTGATTGTCTGGAAAATGCCATTTAAGCAGCTGATTATTTTATTTCTCTTTTTGGTAAATGTACTTTATCACTGATTTTATTTAGCTGGGTTCAGAAATTCTGATAGTAATTTGTATTCTAAATTCTGTTTTTAACACCCTAAACTATAACCTTGAGATTTTGATCTTGTTTTATATATATACTGTGATGATATTGACGTGCCCAATGATTTCTTCTCTCTCTGTAGGCACCAGAATTTCCTGAGTTTGCCACTAAAGTCCAGGAAGCTATCAATTCCCTCGGGGGCAGTGTCTTTCCTAAGCTTAATTGGAGTGCCCCAAGGGTAGGAACACATAAGTAATTCTCTTACTGTTTGAATATTCTTTGTTTTGCTGTTTATTTCATTTCATATCCCTACAGAGGGTCTAATTATATTCCTAATTCTAGGAAAAATACTGTGGAATTTATTATTAATTTCCCTCTACTGTTTTACTTTCCGGATTTTGCTATACACTTGCCTGGGTCTGTGAAATACTGTATATTCTGCCAAAAGGTAGTTTCCACGTCTTGTGTTGCTGATTGTTTTTGAATTCTGAGGAAATTCATACTCTGCCCTTTTCAAAACTTCAGCTGTTCAGTTTAACAGAGAAATTTTTCTTTGTTGAAAAGTAATAAAAATAAAAAAAGTAATAGTGTCATAGGCTATAGAAATAGAGTGGTTGGAGAAGTCAACTGATCTTTTCTTAAATTGTGTCTTATTATTTTAATACTGCATTGACAAGATTTTTATAAAAGTTAAGGCCTGTGGAAAAATCCGTTAGTTGTTTTAATCCAATAGAAAACAGTTTTGTATTAGCAAAGCTTATTTAAGGAATCAGAGACCTATTTGTAATTTCAAAAGTTATCTCATGCCTTTTTTATTCTAAAATGAATGATAATTTGTACTTAATCTAAGTTTTGTTTTTACTTTTATTATTTTTTCTTTTTTGTTTTTACTTCTAAAAATTAATTATACTCTACATGTACAGAATTTAAAATTTCAAATAGATTTGGAAGCTTGCCATGAAAATCAGCAGGTCTTGACACCTATTTTACTTCACCATTTCCTACTCCCCAGAGGTAGCTGTTTTCAAATATTTTAGTACTTTTCTTCCATGTAGTGTGGATAACTGGATAGTGGTTTGCAACTGTTAGTTTTCTCAAAATTCTGTTATATCCTGTGTCTGATCTGTCTGTGGGAGAGTTGTATTTTTTAAATGACTTAATTATTCTGTAATTTTTAGGCATGTTCCACTGAGCTTTGTGCCTGCTTTGCATTTGCCTTCCCATCTTTTGTTCTTATGTATGAGACATTCACCATTTAAAGTTGTAGTGGTTCAGAATAGCTCACCTCCTTCTCTTTCAGATTTGATAGACGTGGGGTGTAACTGCTCCAGCCGCCAAAGTTCAAGTGTTTGGCTGCCACTCCCCAGAAACGGGAAGAGTGGAAATTGATCTCTCTTTTCTTGGAGAGTAGCTGGTCAGGCTATTTCTTTACTACCTTAATCTTGTAGCCAAAATGTCGATGTTTCTGATACCTCATTTTCTTCTCTTCTATTATCAGTAAGAAAAACACTGGGAAGTACTTAGGCCTGGGCTGAAATGTGAGGACCCTGACATCTCAGTGTTCATAACCAAGTGTCTGAAATGCAGTGGTGACGCTTTTTGTTGTTAAGCATAATTTAACATTTGACAGTACTGCTTAAATTTACTTGACTTTCTTCCTTAAACCCTTGAAGTGATATGCATTATTGATTTTGTTATAGGCCTGAGCATTCATAGCAGCCAACATGGAATATGGACTAAATAGCATGTGCTTCATTCTTTAGGATGCGTATTGGATAGCAATGAATAGTTCTCTGAAATGTAAAACCCTCAGCGACATCTTTCTGCTTTTCAAGAGTTCCGATTTCATCACTCGTGACTTCACTCAGCCGTAAGTATCTCTTATTCTCTCATGTCAATAGTTTCAGTATTTGTGCAAATTTCTCTATAGATGAAATTCCATTACTTATAGTACTATTATAAATCATAGCTCCATATAACAAAGCTATTTCATATTGCCAAAATGACCTGTTAAAGCAAATCTTTCTTTTCCCTTTATAGAAAATGGTGTATAATGAATATCTGAAAATGTTAAGGACTTCCTGCGTCTCTGCCCATTAAACATTTCAGTAATTTTTTTTCTATTATAAAACTGATAAATATTTATCATAGAAAAGCAAAATTAGGGATTACAGCTAAATAAAAACAGGAAATATAAAAGCTCTCATGGCCGGGCGCGGTGGCTCACGCCTGGGATTCCCAGCACTTTGGGAGGCCAAGACAGGTGGATCACCTGAGGTCAGGAGTTCAAGACCAGCCTGGCCAATATAGTGAATCCCCGTCTCTACTAAAAATACAAAAAATTAGCCGGGCGTGGTGGCACGTGCCTATAGTCTCAGCTACTCGGGAGGCTGAGGCAGGAGAATGGCTTGAACCCGGGAGGCGGAGTTTGTAGTGAGCCGAGATTGCGTGCCACTGCACTGTAGCCTGGGCGACAGAGCGAGACTCCATCTCAAAACAAACAAAAACAAAAGCACTCATGATCTTGCCACAATTGGTTATTATATTTCTAGAATTCTATCTATAGATAAATATAATATAAATACATCTATCTCTACCTATATACAGATTTTTTTAATGGGATCCTATAGTTTGTATTTCTTTTTTTTTCTTTTTTTTTTTTTTTTTGAGGCAGGGTCTCACTCTGTCTCCCAGGCTGGAGTGCAGTGGCACGATCTCAGCTCAGTGCAACCTCTGGGTTCAAGCGATTCTCTTGCCTCAGCCTCCCAAGTAGCCGGGACTACAGGCATGCACCACCACACCCGGCTAATTTTTTATATTTTTAGTAGAGGCAGGGTTTCACCATATTGGCCAGGCTGGTCTCGAACTCCTGACCTTGTGATCTGCCTGCCTTGGCCTCCCAACGTGTTAGGCTTACAGGTGTGAGCCACCACGCCAAGCCTGTGGTTTATATTTCTTAGTGGGCTGCTTTTGCACTTACCAGTGTGACATCATTGCGTGTCTAAATTCATTATTTTCCATTCCCTTAGTGCTGCGCCTCTGGAGAGCTGTACCATGACATATTTGACCTACCCTCTGTTCTTCCAGAGCTGCAATGAATATCCTTGAGCTAACTCTTTGTGCACTCCCCTAATTTTCTCCTTAGGATAAGTTTCTAGAAGTGGAATTGCTGTATTTCTTTCCTTTTGCCAGTCACTCTATAGCTAAAGAATTTGACAGTGCAGTCAGCGTTGTAGGTGGACGGAATACCTGCCCTGCTGAGCCGCAGGTGCTCTCTTTATGCTTCTTTTGTTGTCTTCAAATAGCAGCTATTTTTCTAGGTTTTTCTTCCTGTTGCATCTTAAACAGACCAGTTATCTCAGGTAAACTCATCTTTAAACTGGTCTTTAAAGCATATCCCAGAACCTAGAAGCAGGAGCATGAGAGTGAAAATCTTGCATAAGCATGCCACTTCCGCCCTGTCCAGTTGAGTTTGTCCTGCCAGTTCGTTCCATGTCAGACTCAAATCCTTTTTTTGAAGTGGATCGTGGCATGAATAACTTAAGTTCACTACGTGTCGGTCGTGCATCAACTCTGGCGTGTGAGCTCTGCAGCTTGGACATAAGGTTGTAGTATTATATTAATTCAAGAAAGGGAAGTTAAGTAATCAGTGAGTGTGGTTGTGTTACATCGTATTACATGTTTATTGTATAAGGATTTTACTTGTATTGGTATTTCTAGTTTTATAGAAAAAAGTGTGTGTGTGTGGTGTGTGTCTGTGTGTCTGTGTCTGTGTGTGTGTGTTTAATAGAGATGGGGTCTCACTATGTTGCCCAAGCTGGTCTCAAACTCCTGGTCTCAAGTGATCCTTCTGTGCCTGAGCAAGTATTGTTTTGACATTTAATTGTCAACCCTCTGGTTGTGTTGGCACAGGTGTTGGTAGCCTGTTTTAGTAACCAGTAGTATTTTCATTCTAGGAGATACCCTCTGAAAAATAGAACAAAGTTGTGGCTCTTTTTTCCATTGTAAAGCTTTTTGACATCTAATGCTTTAAGAGGTCTTAAAATATGTTACACTGAAAATGCTGTCTACTTGATAATTCAACTGATAATGGTTTTTTTTTTTTTTGACGGAGTCTCACTCTGTCGCCCAGGCTGGAGTGCAGTGGTGCAATCTTGGCTCACTGCAACCTCCGCCTCCTGGGTTGAAGCAGTTCTTCTGCCTCAGCCTCCCAAGTAGCTGGGATTACAGGCGCATGGCTACCACGCCCAGCTAATTTTTTTTTGTATTTTTAGTAAAGACGGTGTTTCACCACGTTAGCCAGGATGGTCTCCATCTCCTCACCTCGTGATCCGCCTGCCTAGGCCTCCCAAAGTGCTGGAATTACAGGCGTGGGCCACCGCACCCGGCCATGCCCAACTAATTTTTGTATTTTTAGTAGAGAAGCGGATTCACCTTGTTGGTCAGGCTGGTCTTGAACTCCTGATCTCGTGATCCGCCCGCCTTGGCTTCCTGAAGTGCTGGGATTACAAGCGTGAGCCACTGTGCCTGGCCCTTATAAGGATTTTTATATGCCTTTAGTGTCAGTTGCAGTGAGTGTGGGAAGACACTTTTGCCTTTCCAGAACTAACTATAAATTGCTTTTAATTCTGAGGCTGATGTTTTTTTTAAATCAGCTTTGCAATTTAATGATCAGCTGCCTCCTCTTAAGCTACGTCTTGCTTTTTATCTTCGTTTAACTGATGTTCCAGTGGATGGTATGAATAATAGTCTGTTGTTTTGCATTTTGTACTTTTTGACTTTTGCATGGCAAGGAAGTTAAATCAGCAAGTGAGTTTGAGGTCTTGGATTTAGAGTGTTTACCCACAAAATGCCATCCTTCTGCTATTATAAATAATTGGGAATTGGCAGGAGCAAATGCCAAGCACTGGGCTTTCAGCCTTTTAGCTGGGCGCTACTAACGTGTCACTTTGTCTAGAAGTAACTGTTGGTAGTTGCTTAGCAATTAATCGGTTGCATAACAGGAAGTGTTGCCATCACATAAAAATTCCTTATTGATAGAACTCAGTAAAGATGAATGTTTGTCACAAAGGCCTTGAAGAGCTCTTAAAAGATTAAATGCTGGGTGTGGTGGCTCATGCCTGTAATCCCAGCACTTTGGGAGGCCGAGGTGGGCGGATCATGAGGTCAGGAGATCCAGATCATCCTGGCTAACACGGTGAAACCCCGTCTCTACTGAAAATACAAAAAATTAGCCGGGCGTGGTGGCGGGCGCCTGCAGTCCTAGCTACTCGGGAGGCTGAGGCAGGAGAATGGCGTGAACCCGGGAGGCGGAGCTTGCAGTGAGCTGAGATCGCGCCACTGCACTTCAGCCTGGGCGACAGAGCGAGACTTTGTCTCAAAAAAAAAAAAAAGTTATAGATTCATTCTTTCCAAAATACTTCCCATTAAAATATTATATAATAGAACATTTAATATAATACAGTTATATATAATATGTATAAATTTATATAACATAAAAATGAGATTATGTTGTTTATACTATTTTGAGGCTTGACTTGACAAAAAAAAAATGTTACAGTCAGAATTGCAAGTTAACAGAAGCCGAAAATAGCTTACACATGGGATTTAAAAAATACATTATTTAACGAGGAGCCTGGAGATTGGGTATTTTTAGGAATGCTCAGTGGCTCACCAAGGTCGCCAGGGCTCTTTCAGGCCCTTTCCTTCCACCATCCTTGACTTAGTGGCTCGGTCTTTGGGTTTCTCACCTAATGGTTAAAAGATTGCTGCTACAGTTCCAAGTATCTGTCATATGAAGACATGACCATATCTCAACCAGAAACAGGAGGGATAGGTTGTTTCCTCTTGTTCTTTTCTGTATGTGAACGAGTAAAGCATTCCTGGAGGCCTCCTGGGAGACTTCCTCTCAGCCCTCATTGGTCACAGTTACCCAGCCTAATCCAGTAGTTGGCAAAGGGAGCAGAATTGCTGTGATTCGTTTAGATCAAGCTTGTCCAAGCTGCAGCAGCCCGTGGGCCATGGCCCGGGATGGCTTTGAATGTGCCACAACACAAATTCATAAACTTTCAAACATCGTAAGATTTTTTTTGAGATTTTTATTTTTTTAATTTGTATTTATTTATTTATTAAAATTTCATTTATTAAATTTATTTTTTAAATAAATTTTATTAAAATTTATTTATTTATTTATTTTTTATTTACTTATTTTTTAGCTCATCAGCTATCATTAGTGTTAGTGTATTTTATATGTGGCCCAAGACAATTCTTCCTCTAATGTTTCCCAGGGAAGCTAAAAGTTTGGACACCCCTGGTTAGACCAAGGTTCTCGACACAAGCATGCGTCAGGGTTATCCAGAGAGTTAGATGAAACACAGGTTCCTGGGCTCCAGGGTTTCTGGTCCAGCAGGCCTGGAGGGGGCCTAAGCAGATCATTTCTAACCTGTTCCCAGGCAATGTGGATCCGCTGGTCCAGGCCCACGCCTTGGTGGCTGCTTAGATGAGTCAGCACATGCATCTCAATGATTAGAGAGGGAACCAGGAAGCACAAATGCTCCCAGCATCTGAACAATCCAGGTTCCATTGGACAGGCTGAAGATGGGAATCCTGGAGGGTAGACAGCTAGTGCTGTCTCCCTGCCTATAATGTACTCTAGAAAATACTGCTTTTTTCTTTCCTGTTCTTCAAATGGTTACTGTAGACAAAAAGCTTTAAAAAGTGGAGGTTGACATATGACATGTGGCCGGGCGCGGTGGCTCACGCCTGTAATCCCAGCACTTTGGGAGGCTGAGGTGGGTGGATCACGAGGTCAGGAGTTCGAGACCAGCCTGGCCAACATGGTGAAACCCTGACTCTACTAAAAATACAAAAAAGAGAGAAAGAAAGAAATATGACACACATAAATTTGCTGACTGTGTTATTTGCCAAGATATAAACATTCTATGTTATTAAACTTGCTGAGTCACAGGCTGCTTTCATTATTTTATTGTCACTTCAGTGGGCTGAGTAGACAAGAAAACATTTTGATACTCAATTGGCATTTAGAAAAAAGGGCTGAGTGAAAAAATAAATTTGTTAATTGTTTCTCTGAGGGGCTCATGATGAAGGAGAAATACATTTGACTGCAGGTCAGGGAATTTGATTTGTCTTAGTAATTTTTTTTTAAAATTTTTTCAAGATAGAGTCTCACTCTGTCACCCAGGCTGAAATGCAATGATGCGATCTTGGCTCACTGCACCCTCTGCCTCCCACAGTCCCAGACCGACATGCTCATCACTGGATATGTTACATTTGTCCTCTTTTTTTTTTTTTTGAGACGGAGTCTCGCTCTGTTGCCCAGGCTGGAGTGCAGTGGCGTGATCGTGGCTCACTGCAAGCTCCGCCTCCCGGGTTCACGCCATTCTCCTGCCTCAGCCTCCCGAGTAGCTGGGACTACAGGCGCCTGCCACCATGCCTGGCTAATTTTTTTTTGTATTTTTAGTAGAGACGGGGTTTCACCGTATTAGCCAGGATGGTCTCAATCTCCTGACCTCATGATCCGCCCACCTTGGTCTCCCGAAGTGCTGGGATTACAGGCTTGAGCCAGTGTGCCTGGCCCATTTGTCATCTTTCAGTGTGCAAAATATTTGGAACAGCACGAGAGAAACGGTGTGTTGATTATAATTATTATTCGTTTATGTATTTTATTTTATTTTTATTTTTTTCTTGAGACAGAGTCTCGCTCTGTCACCCAGGCTGGAGTCCAATGGCATGATCTTGGCTCACTGCAACCGCTGCCTCCCAGGTTCAAGCAGTTGTCCTGCCTCAGCCTCCCAAGTAGCTGGGACTGTAGGCGCACGCCACCACGCCTGGATAATTTTTGTATTTTTAGTAGAGACAGGGTCTCACCATGTTGGCCAGGCTGGTCTTGAACTCCTGACCTCAAGTGATCCACCTGCCTCGGCCTCCCAGAGTGCTGGGATTATAGGCATGAGCCACTACACCGGGCCTAATTATAATTATGAAGTCCACAAAAAATAGCATGTCAGTCCCAAGGCATGTTTAGGGCATAATAAATATACCTATTTATAGTAAGGCCATTTGGCTGGCAGAAAAGCTAAGTCTTCTTTGAGCTGAGGATGATTTGGGTAGTAATAAAATAAAAAAATGTGGCACTCCTTTTATTTTTTTTTGGTAAAATTATTTCAGTGTTTATTTTGCTTCTGAGTAAAGACAAGGGATGTGTAATTATCTGTCATTGACGTACACTATGTATTTCCCCCTGTATTTTTATTTTTTTATTTCAGTAGGTTTGGGGGAACAGGTGGTGTTTGGTTACATGGGTACATTCTTTAGTGGTGATTTCTGAGCTTTTGGTGCACCCATCACCTGAGCAGTGTACACTGTACCCAACGTGTAGTCTTTTATCCCTCGCCAACCCTCACCCTTTCCCCTGAGTCCCAGAAGTCCAGTGTATCATTTTTATGCCTTTGCGTCTTCATAGCTTAGCTCCCACTTACAAGTGAGAACATACGATGTTTGGTTTTCCGTTCCTGCGTTACTTCACTTGGAATAATAGTCTCCAGTTCCATCCAGGTTGCTGCAAATGCCATTATTTTGTTCCTTAAAAAAAAAAAAAAGACATCTGATTAGTCATCAGTACTAGTTAAGCATATTTCTTTAGTTTGGGGATAGAATATTTTTTCTTTTCCTTTCTTTTTTTTTTTCTTTCCTTTCTAAAAATTTGTGTCTATAACATTGCTTTCCAAAATTCCTGTTAACTGGCAAATATTAAAGTGTAGTAAAAATATGCTGGCATAATTTCATAGTAGCTTTCATCAAAGTAGGCCTTTGGGATTTTGCTTTTTTTTTCTTTGGAATAAAATCTTTGCTATTATTATACCTGAGAATTCTTTTAGTTTGCCACTTACATTGTAAATAATGTAACATTTATTACTTAATCACATTTGTGTTTATTTTAGAATTTTCATAGCTTGCTAGAGGGACTATAATTATTCTGCCAAGAATTTGAACTTTGAATTCAACATAAGAGCCTCCTTTCAGCTTAGACTACAAATTAGTGACTGTAGTTGAATACCACGTTCTTTTGGTACTTTGTTGAAAATTTCAGTTGAAGAAATCTTCCAAATTAATGTTAAATAGTAACCCAGGAAAAAAATTTGGGGAATATTTTGTGGTGGTGGTGGTTTTTTTGTTTTTGTTTTTGTTTTTTCTTGAGACGGAGCCTTTTTGTCGTGGGAAATGTGCTGAGTCCTCCAGTGACCTTGGTGGGATTTAGGGTAGCCAGACTGAGTTTTCTAGCTGAAGCTGCGGCCCTGAAGGCTATGCTTGGGGTCCGAGCTGCTCCAGTTTGATGCTTCCTTCCTTTTCCCTATTTCTTCCTTTCCCCAAGAATGGTGCAGACTTCCTGCTGAGGCCTGTAGTTGGTGGACAGGCATATCCTGGCGCTTTTCCCAAGAACCCCTTACAGAGCTTGAACTGCAGCTACTCCTCAGAATAATGATTTCTAAAATATGGGCTGGGTGCGGTGGCTCACATCTGTAATCCCAGCACTTTGGGAGGCCGAGGCAGGTGGATTACCTAAGGTCGGGAGTTTGAGACCAGCCTGACCAACTCGATGAAACCCCATCTCTACTAAAAATACAAAAATTAGCTGGGCTTGGTGGCACACGCCTGTAATCCCAGCTACTTGGGAGGCTGAGGCAGGAGAATTGCTTGAGCCCGGGAGACGGAGGTTGCAGTGAGCCAAGATCGTGCCACTGCGCTCCAGCCTGGCCACGGAGTGAGACTCTGTCTCAAAAAAATAAATAAATGAATAAAAGAAAAGAAAATATGTGTCTAGTCCCCATCTTGGACACTTTGGATTGGAATCTCTGGGGAAGTATTTTGAAAAATCATCTCATTCCACTCTCTCATTTTCAAACCTGTGTTCTAGAAGCTCTGACACACCCTGAGGTTCAGCGTGCAGTAAGTAGTTAACTGAATATAAAGACAGGGAAGAAAAAGCGGGCCTGACAAGTTGTCTACAGATTTGATTGCATAATGAACTTTAGAAATCACCCAATACCATCTGCCATTTACTGCTGAGGCAACTATGAGCCAGTCCCAAAAAATAATTGACTTTTCTCTTTTTTTTTTCTAGCTTCTCTCTTTTTTTTTTTTTTTTTTTTTTTTTTTAGTATTTATTGATCATTCTTGGGTGTTTCTCAGAGAGGGGGATTTGGCAGGGTCATAGGACAATAGTGGAGGGAAGGTAAGCAGATAAACATGTGAACAAGGGTCTCTGGTTTTCCTAGGCAGAGGACCCTGCGGCCTTCTGCAGTGTTTGTGTCCCTGGGTACTTGAGATTAGGGAGTGGTGATGACTCTTAAGGAGCATGCTGCCTTCAAGCATCTGTTTAACAAAGCACATCTTGCACCGCCCTTAATCCATTTAACCCTTCGTGGACACAGCACATGTTTCAGAGAGCACGGGGTTGGGGGTAAGGTTATAGATTAACAGCATCCCAAGGCAGAAGAATTTTTCTTAGTACAGAACAAAATGGAGTCTCCCATGTCTACTTCTTTCTACACAGACACAGCAACAATCTGATTTCTCTTTCCTTTCCCCACACTTCCCCCCCTTCCACTCAACAAAACCGCCATCGTCATCATGGCCCGTTCTCAATGAGCTGTTGGGTACACCTCCCAGACGGCGTGGCGGCTGGGCAGAGGCGCCCCCCACCTCCCTCCTGGACGGGGCGGCTGGCCGGGCGGGGGCTGCCCCCCACCTCCCTCCCAGATGGGGCGGCTGGCCGGGTGGGGGCTCTCCCCCACCTCCTGGAGGGGGCAGCTGCTGGGTGGAGACGCTCCTCACTTCCCAGACGGGGCGGCTGCTGGGCGGAGGGGCTCCTCACTTCTCAGACGGGGCGGCCGGGCAGAGAGGCTCCTCACCTCCCAGACGGGGTGGAGGTTGGGCAGAGACACTCCTCAGTTCCCAGACAGCGTCGCGGCTGGGCAGAGGCGCTCCTCACATCCCAGACGGGGCGGCGGGGCAGAGGCGCTCCTCACATCCCAGACGATGGGCTGCGGGGCAGAGGCGCTCCCCACATCTCAGACGATGGGTGGCTGGGCAGAGACGCTCCCCATTTCCTAGACGGGATGGCGGCCGGGAAGAGGTGCTCCTCACTTCCCAGACTGGGCGGCCAGGCAGAGGGGCTCCTCACATCCCAGACGATGGGCGGCCAGGCAGAGACGCTCCTTGCTTCCCAGACGGGGTGGCGGCTGGGCAGAGGCTGCAATCTCGGCACTTTGGGAGGCGAAGGCAGGCGGCTGGGAGGTGGAGGTTGTAGCGAGCCGAGATCACACCACTGCACTCCAGCCTGGGCAACATTGAGCACTGAGTGAGCGAGACTCCGTCTGCAATCCCGGCACTTTGGGAGGCCGAGGCTAGCAGATCACTCGCGGTTAGGAGCTGGAGACCAGCCCCACCAACACGGCAAAACCCTGTCTCCACCAAAAAAATACGAAAACCAGTCAGGCGTGGCGGCGTGCGCCTGCAATCCCAGGCACTCGGCAGGCTGAAGCAGGAGAATCAGGCAGGGAGGTTGCAGTGAGCCGAGATGGCGGCACTACAGTCCAGCCTCTGCTCGGCATCAGAGGGAGACCGTGGAGAGAGAGGGAGAGGGAGAGATAGACCATGGGGAGAGGGGGAGGGGGAGGGGGAGGGGAGGAATAATTGACTTTTCTAAGACCATAAAATACTAGTACGGAGCCCAAGGTCCTGATTGTGATTTTTAACCTCTGGTCTATTGTTCTCTTACATTCATTGGAACGTTTTCCTTTTCTCCTTATGTAGATTATCTAATCTAAAATATTCATTTGGCTCTATACTGGATATGTGTACAAAAGTAATTTTCTGTCTTTTTTTTTTTTCTTTATGAGACAGAGTCTCACTCTATTGCCCAGGCTGGAGTGCAGTGTCACGATCTCAGATCACTGCAACCTTCAACTCCTGGGTTCAAGGGATTCTCGTGCCTCAGCCTCCCAAGTAGCTGAGCTTACAGGCATGTGCCACCATGCCCAGCTAATTTTTGTATTTTTGGTAGAGATGGGGTTTCATCATGTCGGCCAAGCTGGTCTCAAACTCCTGACCTCGTGATCCGCCCACCTCAGCCTCCCAAAGTGCTGGGATTACAGGCGTGAGTCACCGCACCCAGTCCAAAAATAATTTTCTTAAATAATAGAAAACGTATAGAGGAAAGCTCTAGATACATGTAGTACTTATCAATATGCTGATCCTTGGGGGCGAAAGGGCAGTTTTTTAAAGGATAAAAATAATTAGTTAATTTTTATTAACTTGTGAGAGTTCATGACCTTAATTTTTGAGGCAGGATCTCACTCTGGGCTAGAGTGCAATGGTGTGATCATAGCTTACTGCAGCCTCAAACTCCGGAGCTCAAGTGATCTTCCCGCCTCAGCCTTCTGAGTAGCTGGGATGACAGGCTTGAGCCTCCGTACCGGCTAATTTTTATATTTTTTTTAGAGGCGGGACCTAGCTTTGTTGCCCAGGCTGGTCTCAAACTCCTGGCTTTAGGCAGTCTTCCCACCTCAGCCTTCCAAAGTGTTGGGATTACAGGTGTGAGCCCTGTGCCCAGTCCTTAATTTTTATTGACGTAAAATAACTGTTAAGCTTAATTATTATTAAAATAATTTTTAATCGAAAGCTAGTTTTCTAGTTTTAGATTATTAGTCCTCAAGATAATGTACTGTTAAGTTAGTTTGATTTGAAATAAGAGATTTTTGCTTTACAGAGAAAAACTAGGTTGTTTTTAGTTTTTTTTTTTTTTGAAACGGTGTCTTACTCGGTCACCCAGGCTGGAGTGCAGTGGCGCAATCTCGGCTCACTGCAACCTCCGCCTCCTGGATTCAAGCAGTTCTCCTATCTCAGCCTCCTGAGTAGCTGGGACTACAGGTGTACACCACCAGGCCTGGCTAATGTTTTTCTTTTTTTGAGATGGAGTTTTACTCTTGTTGCCCAGGCTGGAGTGCAACGGCGCGATCTTGGCTTACCACAACCTCTGCCTCCCAGGTTCAAGCGATTCTCCTGCCTCAGCCTCCCATGTAGCTGGGATTACAGGCATGCACCACCACACCCAGCTAATTTTGTATTTTTAGTAGAGATGAGTTTTCTCCATGTTGGTTAGGCTGGTCTCGAACTCCCAACCTCAGGTGATCTGCCCGCCTCGGCCTCCCAAAGTGCTGGGATTATAGGCGTGAGCCACTGCGCCTGGCCACGCCTGGCTAATTTTTGTATTTTTTGTAGAGACAGGGTTTTGCCATGTTGCTCAGACTGGTCTCGAGTTCCTGAACTCAAGCAATCGGCCCGCCTCAGCCTCCCAGAGTGCTGGGAGTACAGGCGTGAGCCACCGTGCCAGGTCTGCCCCCTCCCTTTCAGTGAGTCACCAAGTGATCTTGCCTCCGCCTCTACGCTTCTCCTTTCTGTGTCCACTCCCATTCCCTTAGTTAGACCCTCATCTCCCCGAGGCTATTGCAGCAAGCCTTCTACCAGGCTTCTCTGCCTCCCAGGTTGCTGCCCTTCCCCTAAACTGTCCAACACCATTGTGCCATAGTGATATAGATGCGTTTTTTAAACCCCTGGTACCTGTGAACACAGTGATATTCTTAACGCCTAAATGGAATGATCTCCCTTGCGTAGTTGGAGACTTTAGGGCTCCCCTTTGTCCTTATAATGAAGTCCAAGTCCCCTGGGTGGGCACACGAGGCCTCTCATGACCTGGATACTTCTCTTTGTCCAGAGTTTCTGTCCAGCTCCATCTGTCGCAGTTCCCCCTTGAGTCCTGCACTCCATCAGAGCTGATCTTCTCTAGTTATTTGAATGCTCTGTGAGATCTCTCACTGCCCTCCCTGCCTTAGCACGTTTCTCCGTGCTTTAAATGCGGGCCCCTTCTTGACTACCACTCCCCTCCGACACACAGCAGCCAGCTAATCAGTTCTTCCTTGGTGCTGCAGAGTATTTTTTCTCTAGTGTTTTTAAAATTGTGTCTATTTTTTAGCTTTCTCCACCAGACTAAGCTCAACCAGAACAAAGGAGTCTTCATCATTTTAACATTCCCAATGCCTAGCCCAAGCTTTGGCATAGATGGGCATTTAATAAGCGATATGAAACATTGTTGATGAAAGTGAGGATTTTTCGAGGAGGAAGCAGTATACTTAATGGAGGGCTGAATGGATCTATCTGAGTTTTAAAATGGCACGTGGGAGAAGGATTCAGTTAACTGTGTGACTTTCGATGGCCAACGTTACGTTGAGAGAGAAGTAGGCTGCTGGCTCCACTGTAAGATGCACACAACAAGAACGTGGACAATGACAGTGCCTTCCTGCCCTCGTTGAGAATCAGGGGTTAGACAGTTTGAGTCTTGTTGTGGCCACTAAATTTGGTCTTTTCTGGGTGTTAGTTTCTTTGCCTTTTGACAGAAAAATGGACATTATGCTATCTCTATGGTTATAATAGCCCATAACATTGTTTATTTTAATTTTTGTGGGTACATAGTAAGTGTATATATTCATGCGGTACATAAGATGGGTTTTTTTTGTTTTTTGGGTTTTTTTTTTTGAGATGGAGTCTCGCTCTGTCACCCAGGCTGGAGTTCAGTGGCACTGTCTCGGCTCACTGCATCCTCCGCCTCACGGTTTTAGGTGATTCCCCTGCCTCAGCCTCTCGAGTAGCTGGGATTTCAGGCGTCCACCACCACAGCCGGCTAATTTTTGTATTTTTACTAGAGACAGGGTATCACCATGTTGGCCAGGCTGGTGTCAAACTCCTGACCTCAAGTGATCCACCTGCCTTGGCCTCCCAAAGTGGTGGGATTACAGGCATGAACCACTGCACCCATCCTGGGGTACATGGCATGTTTTGATACAAACAGGCCATGCCTAATTATCACATCATGTAAAGTGGGGTATCTGTTCCACTCAAACATGTATCCATCCTTTGTGTTACAAATGATCCAGTTACACTCTAGTTATTTTAAAATGTACAATTAAATCGTTGTTGACTGTAGTCACCCTGTTGTGCTGTCAAATACTAGACCAGCTATAGAAATGATCCTGGAAGGTACAGTCTTGCTCATAACATTGTTTCGATGATTAAATGAGTTCATATCTCAGGCTGCCTAGGCTAATGCAAAGCATTGAATACGGCTCAGTAAGTGTTCGTCGAATTTGAGTTAGTCTCCTGTTTCTGGATGCTTTTAGTAAAACGTTACTCTCATGTTAAATATATGTTAAGTGTGTGCATAAACTGGCACCAGTAACAAAAAGATTCAGTTGCCTTTTCTTCTTCTTCCAAAGGTTTATTCATTGTACTGATGATTCTCCAGATCCATGTATAGAATATGAGGTAAGAAGCTTATTTTCTTTGATAATTGTAGATGAAGATGTGTTGAGAATTGCTATTTATTCTTAAGTGAAATGAAATGAATGAAGTTTCTTGGATTAATTTCTTCGGGAACCTAAAGCCACTGAAATTTTAAATTTATGAAATATACACATAAAAGGATATATATTATATATAGAGTGTATATACCAAATACATGTATGCAGTATACACTTGCTACAGGATATACGCAGACACCTTTAATAGAACAAACACCTTTATACGCCTCACAGGTGCACCTAATTGTTTCAGCATTTTACCATTTTTATATTGTTCACTCACCTTACAAATAACTTAATAAGAGGATAGGCCGGGCGTGGTGGCTCACGCCTGTAATCCCAGCACTTTGAGAGGCCGAGGTGGGTGGATCATCTGAGATCAGGAGTGCGAGACCAGCCTGGCCATCATGGCGAAACCCCGCATCTCTACTAAAAATACAAAAATTAGCTGGGTGTGGTAGTGGTGGCCTGTAATCCCAGCTACTCAGGAGATTGAGGCTGAAGAATCGCTTGAACCCGGGAGGTGGAGGTTGCAGTGAGCTGAGATGGCGCCATTGCACTCCAGCCTGGGCCACAAAAGTGAAACTCCGTCTCAAAAAAAAAAAAAAAAAAAGAATAAGAGGATAGTGAAAAAACAACTTCATTAGAAATTTTGATGAGTTTAAACATAGTAAGCCTCAATTTTTATTCCAGATTTTCCTAGTTTTGAAAGTATACACACAACACACACGCACATACCCTGATCTGGACCAGGTTCTTAGCTACAACTAACTGCTCATCAACTGTCATGAATGGATCTGAAACATAACTTTTTTTTCTTTTTTTCTTTTTTGAGATACAGTTTTGCTCTGTTGCCCAGGCTGGAATGCAGTGGCGCGATCTCAGCTCACTGAAACCTCTGCCTCCTGGACTAAAGCAATTCTCCTGCCTCAGCCTCCCGAGTAGCTGGGATTACAGGTGTGCACAACCACCATCCAGCTAATTTTTGTATTTTTAGTAGAGACTGGGTTTCACCATGTTGGCCAGGCTGGTCTCGAACTCCTGACCTCAAGTGAAACGCCTGCCTCAGCCTCCCAAAATGCTGGGATTACAGGCGTGAACCACTGCGCCCTGCCTTTTTTTAAATGCAGACTCCACGTTTCAACTCCGATTCCTGGTCCTTCTTCCACTTGCACTGTCAAAATGCAAACTTTTAGAAACTTTGACGGCTCATAGTTTGTTGCAAAGAGGATGGCCATCTTTGCTCCATAATTGCATTTTTACATTTATGTGAAAATTACATTTTCATTTTTGGTCATATAACACCAATTCGAATTAGTGCAGTAATTTTAAAATCTGTCTTTAGTGTCTGTTTGCTTCTAGCTACTTTTTTATATATGTACACATGCTTTCAAAATTTGTCTGTTGACTCACTGCATTGAGTAATTTTTAATGTGTTGACTGTAGATATTGATGTATCTTTTAGGATTATACCATATACATGGAACAGTTAATTTACTAGTTAAGTTACTCCTTACCAAGCCACCAATTACTAGATCTTAGAGTGCTTGTAGGTGAGATTCTTATATACAACTTGTGAGATTTTTTCCCCTCACTTAATAGCATAGTGTGAGCATTTTCCCAGCTTATTAAACACTCCTATAACTTTATATAATATAGTCACAGCTATTGCTTCACGCAACGAACATCTGTCTATTAAGTACCTGGCTGTGGTGCTTTCTGCCAGGTATGAGAAAGAGATCATTTCCTTACCTTTCTTTTTTTTTTTCTGAGACAGAGTCTTGCTCTGTCACCCAGGCTGGAGTGCAGTGGCGCCATCTCCGGTTCACGCCATTCTCCTGCCTCAGCCTCCCAAGGAGCTGGGATTACAGGCACCCGCCACTCCGCCTGGCTAATTTTTTGTATTTTTAGTGGAGACGGGGTTTCACTGTGTTAGCCAGGATGGTCTCGTTCTCCTGACCTCGTGATCCGTCCGCCTCAGCCTCCCAAAGTGCTGGGATTACAGGATTTCCTTAGCCTTTCTCTGAGGCACAGTCTTTCTTAAGAAGTCATCATCTACCTCCAAGATTTATTTACCAGCAGTTTGCTCTCTTATTGCCGTTTTGAAAGACACCATTATCATGTATATAAGATTTAAAACCTAGTTTTAAAATTGTAGGAAAGTGATACTCTTCAAGTAATTCAAATGAAAAAAGTTGCAAGTAGAATCCTTTGTATCATTTTCTCCTGTCTGTGTGTATTTAAAATACACACACACACACACACACACACACACACACACACACTCTCTGTCTCTTTATAGATACTTACATATTCATAGGATAAATCTGGAAAGATGCACAAGAAACCTATAGCACTGGTTGCCTCTCAGGAAAAAGACAGAGGGACAGAGTTCGGGAGAGACACTCCCTATCCCCTTCTGTGTTTTGTGAAAATCAACCACAGTGTATGTATTACATGCACAAAATAGTATTTTGATAAACATTATGCAAATTTTCCAATAAATTGTGTGCTACAATTGCTTATTTATTTGTTGCTAAGTAAAACCACTGTAGCCTATATATATATATAAAATGTATAAAATTATGTATGTATATGCCTGTATGGGCTTTTAATAGATAAGAACTGTGTAGTATTTTAGTTTCAGATTCATTTAATAATTACGTATTTTTTTAAAAAGCAGATAATAAGGCTTGACTAAGAGCTTATAATAAATGAAAAATGAAATCAGTGCATTTAAAATTTCTAAGGCATACTTTAAATGTGTTTTTTTAATACATTGAGAGTGCCCACCTGAAATTTTCCTGATTTTTAAGATGAGAAACTTATTAGTATATGAGAGTTTATATCTATTAAATAATTATTAATTACAGTAATAAGACCCATTTGTGATTTAGGCCAAGGGTAGAATTGATCGACTAAAATATTGAGAAAATAGTGAGAGAGTTATTTTGGTGATTCATTGTGACAAACCTCAATAATAATTATATCAAAGTAAGCATTACCTCATGGTACTTAAGGTAGACAACTTTAGAATTATATTATTTTATTTTACTATATTTTATTTTATTTTATTTTTTAGATGGAGTTTTGCTCTGTCGCCCAGGCTGGAGTGCAGTGTGGCGCAATCTCGGCTCACTGCAACCTCCGCTTCCTGGGTTCAAGCGATTCTCCTGCCTCAGCCTCCTTAGTAGCTGGGGCTACAGGTGCCTGCCACCACACCTGGCTAATTTTTTGTGTTTTTAGTAGAGGAGGTTTCACATGTTGGAGCGCAATGGCGCGATCTGGGCTCTCTACAACCTCTGCCTCCTGAGTAGCTGGGATTACAGGCACCCGCCACCATGCCTGGCTCATTTTTTTGTACTTTTAGTAGAGACGGGGTTTTACCATGTTGGCCAGGCTGATCTTGAACTCCTGACCTCAGGTGATCGCCCGCCTCAGTCTCCGAAAGTGCTGGGGTTATAGGCGTGAGCCTCCGCACCTGGCTGGAATTACTTTATTATTTGATATTCCTCAAGGGGTGCAGAACATATGAATGAACGTATGGCACTGTGGTGAAAAGTTGTGACTACATTCTTGGTGGTGTGCTTGTATGTCAGAACTCTCAAAATGGCAGTTATGTGACAAGGATGCATTTTGTCATAGAATTTTAGCACAATTTTCCTGTGGTTATCAGAATAATAGATCACAACTCTATTCCCTACATCTCATGTGAAGAATTTTTTTTTTTTTTTTTTTTGAGATGGAGTTTTGCTCTTGTTTCCCAGGCTGAAGTGCAATGGCGTGATCTTGGCTCTCTGCAACCTCCACCTCCCGGGTTCAAGTGATTCTCCTGCCTCAGCCTTCTGAGTAGCTGACAGGCATGTGCCATCATGCCCGGCCAAGAATGTCATATGCCTCTTTTTTTAAAACCATTTGATAATGGCAATCATTAAGATACAGTGTTGACCTAAAATTGCCTAGTAGACCTTACCACATAGGTGTGTTATATTAAATATTTTTTCTTTTGTTTACAGCTCGTTCTCCGAAAATGGTGTGAATTGATTCCTGGGGCTGAGTTTCGATGTTTTGTCAAGGAAAACAAGCTTATTGGTGAGTTTTTGTTTGTTTGTTTGTTTTATCCTTCAAAGTCATCTTTAAAAGAAAACAAGCTTTTGTTGGAAGTAAATTTCCAGTAATTAGGACAGGGATGTCAATCTGTTTTCATCTCAGATGCCACCTCTAACCAGTTGATACTGACTCTCTGGAATGCTGTGTTGACAGGAATCCTGAGCCCAGAGTCACTTGCCGCAGGAAACGGTATTGTCAGATAATCATGGCTGTCTGGATTCCAGAGATAAAAATGGTGGTTGTCACTGTTCCTGATTTAGGAATCAGGAACTCTGTGTATGGAATTTTCCTAAGCAGTACTTAGCAATAGTCTGCTTATTTCAAGCGTCATAAAAAGCCAAGTTTTGGAACCTTTATTTCTATTATTGGGGCACTGTTTATTATTCTAGCAAGAGAAAATATGTGGACAAGTAAGTGTATTCTTCTAAGTCACCCATTTTCTTTCCTCTCAGGTTACTGTTCTGTTTGCTATGATTGATTTAACTTAAATATTGAAGATAATTTGTTCTTTATTTTGTTAATGCATATTTTCCATGAAGTAAAATTTATCTTCAACCTAGAAAAGTGTAATTTGAATACAATCACATCAGCACTATTGATGCATTGAATGTGATGTTGAAATGTATGAACCCACCTGAAAGAAAGTTGGGGTGTTCACATTTCTCATATTGCTCGATATTCTTGAAGAAGCTGCAGTGTAAGTACTCTAAAGCGGGGGGTCCTGTTGGCACAAGATTCAGGAATAGGAAGCCCGTATTTCAGAGCAGAGAACTTTTCCCTAGGACTGGAGCAAATTCAGGGAGTTTGTGTAATAGTCCAGTTAGTGTGTTTGGAATCTTGTCAGCAAGTCACTCTGAAAAAAGGAATGTTTACTTTTCCATGGCTTGAACGAGAGCAGGCTGTGAAGGCCAAGTAGCATGTATGAACAAGAAAAATAGACTGCTTCTATGCAATACAGTATGAATATGGCAGGCATCTCTTGAAGAATATTTGATATTTTCCCAAAGAAAGTGGAAGAGAATACCAATTTGCAGAGACTCTTTGGAAGAAAGCAAAGCAGCAGCAGTTGATTATGTGTGCAGGTTTAGAATTGCTGCTTTAATTTTTTACATAACAAGACTTTTTGTGACTTTGAATTCCTTCCATTTTACTAAATGAAAATAACTGTTTCCATGGGCAAGGTGCTGTGGCTCACACCTGTAATCCCAACAGTTTGAGAGGCCAAGGCTGGAGGATTGCTTGAGGCCAGGAGTTCAAGACCAGCCTGCGCAATGTACTGAGACCCCGTCTCTACAAAAAATAAAACGATGAGCCAGGCATGGTGGCACATGCCTGTAGTCCCGGCTACTCGGGAGACTGAGGTGGGAGGGTCACTTGAGCTCAGAAAGTGGAGGTTGTAATAAGCTATGATTGTGCCACTGTACCCCAGCCTGGGCAACAGAATGAGACACTGTCTCTAAAAAAAAAAAAAGGCCAGGTGCGGTGGCTTACACCTGTAATCCCAGCATTTTGGGAGGCTGAGGTGGGTGGATCATGAGATCAGTTCAAGACCAGCCTGGCCAAGATGGTGAAACCCCATCTCTGCTAAAAATACAAAAAAAAATTTGCTGGGTGTGGTGGCAGGCGCCCGTAATCCTTGCTACTTGGGAGGCTGAGGCAGGAGAATCGCTTCTCGGGCAGCAGAGGTTGCAGTGAGCCGAGATCGTGCCACTGCACTCCAGCCTGGGCAATAGAGTGAGACTCCGTCTCAAAACAAAACAAAACAAAACAAAACAAAACAAAAAGTAAATTCTTCCAGAAGTAAGAAGACATGGCAATGTAGGACTTCAGGATTCACCTGTTCATATGAATCCTTACAGCTGGGTCGTGTGTAATGCCGTACCCATCAGGGTGATCTTCTAATCTACTTTAATGGTTCTTTCCACAAAATGTTTAAATCACGTATTGATGTTTTTGAAAAGAATATTGTATAATAACAGGATGTAAAATATTTTCTTGTCAGGTATTTCTCAAAGAGACTACACACAATACTATGATCATATTTCTAAACAAAAGGAAGAAATTCGCAGATGCATACAAGACTTTTTCAAGAAACACATACAGTACAAATTCTTAGATGAAGACTGTGAGTATTTTTTTATTGATCCAGTAAAATGAAATGAAATATACATTGTTACTGGACCTTATTTACTATGGTGTGTATCCTAATAACTAGATTTGAAATACTGTATTGTAAGCATTTTACTATATTATTATTTGTTATTTTTGATAGTTTGTATGTTAATTTCTTTTTATTATTATTATTTTTATTTGGAGACAGTCTTACTCTGTCAGCCAGGCTGGAGTGCAGTGGTGCGATCGCGGCTCGTGCAGCTTCCACCTCCCGGGTTCAGGTGATTCTCCTGCCTCAGCCTCCCAAGTAGCTGGGGCTACAGGTGCACGTCACCACACCCGGCTAATTTTTTGTATGTTTAGTAGAGATGGAGTTTCGCCATGTTGGCCAGGCTGGTCTTGAACTCCTGGCCTAAGTGATCCGCCCACTTCAGCCTCACAGTGTGCTGGGATTACAGATGTGAGCCACCGCACCAGCCATGTTAATTTCATCTTATTTAACTAAAATCTATTTTTACTGCTAAGTCAGTTCCCTGTCTTGTTTTAGATGTTTGATTGTGTATTTCAAAGGGGCTATCTACAGAGAACAAAGTCTATCTACCTTTCTAGCTTCTTTGAATGATCAAAGACAGCACCAGTTACAAAGTAAACATTTGTGGGTTGTTTTTAGGAATTGAAAGTATATTGTGTAAGAGTTTTCATACATCTGAAAATTATATCTGCTATGATTTACAATTTCTCTACTTGCCAAGACTGGGCTCTGTGGCAGATTTGACTTAAAATAAGATGAATCATGCTTCAAGGCTCATTAGATTTTATGCTTTCTATTATAAGCTTTACTCATTGCATTCTACCAGATCAGTGATTGATGCCCGTTTCACTAGTACTTTGCTCAGTGACTCCCATCTTTCCCATAGAACCAGTCTATAACGGGGAACTGGTTGAGATGATATTGGCGTTTGGTTTGAATTTTTAAATATAGGGGCTTATGGTTGGGGAACAGAGAACAGTAAAGCAAAGTTATATAAATAAAACATTGCAGGATGCCTTTTTATGTTTGAAGTTTTGAGGTTTAGAAGCATGAAGTCCTCAGGGTCATTTATATTCTGCTGTCTTTGATTAAAATGTACTTTAATTTTCAAAAGGAGATTTACATTGTGAAATATTAGTTCATTAATAACTGACTTTTTTTCTCCTTTACAGTTGTGTTCGATATATACAGAGACAGTAGGGTAAGTAAAAACTCTTTCTGATATGCTTTAATATAAGAGCTGGTTTTATAAGCAGGCAGAGCATGCCTTTGTTATGTGTGTGAAGGATCCATGCTCAAAAAATATTTTGTCTGGGTGCAGCAGCTCATGCCTGTATTCCCAGCACTTTGGGAGGCTTAGGCAGGGAGATCATTTGAGCTCAGGAGTTCGAGACTAGCCTGGGCAACATAGTGAGCCCTCATCTCTACTAAAAATTAAAAAAAAATTAGCCCAGGCCAGGCACAGTGGCTCACACCTGTAACCCCAGCACTTTGGGAGGCCGAGGTGGGAGGATCACTTGAGGTCAGGAGTTCAAGATCAGCCTCGGCAACATGGTGAAACTCCGTCTCTACTAAAAATACAAAAAAATGAGCCAGGCATGGTGGTGGGTGCCTGAAATCCCAGCTACTCAGGAGGCAGAGATTGCAGTGAGCGGAGATCACGCCATTGTGCTGCAGCCTGGGCAACAGAGCGAGACTCTGCCTCAAAAGAGAAAAAAAAAATATCCGGGCCTGGTGGTGTTTGCCTGTAGTCCCAGTTATGCAAGAGGCTGAGCTGGGAGGATCACTTGAGCCCGGGAATGCAAGGCTGCAGTGAGCCTTGATTGCGCCACTGCTCTCCAGCCAGGGTGACAGAGTGAGACCCCATCCCCTCCTCAAATTTTTTTTTTTTTCTCACATCAACTAAGGTGATTGAAATTCACCATGGTCAAAAATCTCCCCTTAAAATATACCTAACATTAGAGGACTTAATAGCTGAAATCATTGTGTACCATGGTTTAGGGATTCTTTATTGAACAGGTAGGTAAATGAGCACTTACGTCCTATGTCTCATTTGTGTCAGAGGTCAGGGCCTGCTTAAAATAGTTCAGTTTGCACACTTAAATTTGGCCAGGAGTTTGTCACTTGATATTTATATAATTATTTTGGCCGGGTGCAGTGGCTCACGCCCGTAATCCCAGCACTTTGGGAGGCTGAGGCGGGCAGATCACCTGAGGTCGGGAGTTCGAAACCCACCTGACCAACATGGAGAAACCCTGTCTCTACTAAAAATACAAAATTAGCCGGGCATGGTGGCGCATGCCACCTAGCTACGTGGGAAGCTGAGGCACAGGAGAATCACTTGAACCAGGAGGTGGAGGTTGCAGTGAGTTGAGATTGTGCTATTGCATTCCAGCCTGGGCAACAAGAGCGAAACTCTGTTTTTTAAAAAAAAAAAAAAGGGGCCGGGCGCGGTGGCTCACACCTGTAATCCCAGCACTTTGGGAGGCCGAGACGGGCAGATCACGAGGTCAGGAGATCGAGACCATCCTGGCTAAAACGGTGAAACCCTGTCTCTACTAAAAATACAAAAAATTAGCCGGGTGTGTTGGCGGGCACTTGTAGTCCCAGCTACTCTGGAGGCTGAGGCGGGAGAATGGCGTGAACCCGGGAGGCGGAGCTTGCAGTGAGCCGAGATCGCGCCACTGCACTCCAGCCTGGGCTACAGAGCGAGACTCCGTCTCAAAAAAAAAAAAAAAAAAATTATTATTATTATTTTTAGTCAACTAAAAGTGACTCAAAGTTTGAGTTACTTTTATCTTTAGACAGAAGAGGATTAGTTTATTTTTTAAATCTTAAAAGTGATGAAAACTTCTGTAAGGAAAAAGTTAAAGTGACTTACTAGTAAAGTTACTTACTGCTGACTTAATGAAGAATTACTAGAGCAGAGATTTCACTGTCCAAGACATGTCATCTTTATTAAGAAGTTTAGGTCACTAAATGCTGTTTGGTGCTGAGTGCTCTTTGACATTGTGAAGAAGCTAGCAGATGCGTTTTCCCGTGTCACCTACACACAAGCAGAATATTTCTCATTCTCTCTCCGTGCTTAGATCAGCCTCATTGTAAGTGAGACAGTCATTTGAATCTGAATCACCTTTGGACATCTTCGAATCATCTTTGGACAAAAAGATATGGCCCATATGATCATGTCCCAGAATAACTGTTAACTGTTCATTTAACTCTTACGTCAAAAGACATCACTATATTTTCACCTCTTTGTCTTCAAAGATGATGGTGTCTGTTAAGAGTTACTAGAAAGAGGGGCTTTAGGCCATTGTTGTGGCTCACGCCTGTATTTTCAGCATTTTGGGAGGCTGAGGTGGGAGGATGGCTTGAGCCCAGGAGTTTGAGATCAGCCTGGGCTTAACATAATGAGACCTCGTCTCTACATAAAAATTAGCCAGGTGTGGTGGTTTGTGCCTGTAGCCCCAGCTACTCCCGGGAGCTGAGTTGGGAGGATCGCTTGAGACTGGGAGGTTGAGGCTGCAGTGAGCCATGATCATACATGTCATGCCTAGCAGTGAACACCAGGTTGTGTCTGGTCTTCTGCAGTCTGCCATGGTGAATAATCCCGTACGTGTGTCATTTCACACGCTGCAGGTGAATCTACAGGGTGAATTCCTAGAAGCGGGATTGCTGGCTCAAAAGTGAAATGTATTTTAATGTTGCAGTTTACCCTCGGTAGAGGTTACACCTGACCAGATCCCCCCAGGAATGCATCACAGTACCTGCAGGCTTCCTCAGAGCTTGCCTTTACAATATAGGGTTACACTCTTCAGGGTTTTTGGGGTTTCGTAGAGAAATGATGTTTCAGTATAATTTCTACTTCTATTTTTCTTAGTAAGTGAGGATGAAGTTTATCTTTTCATATATTTAAGGGTCGTTTCTGTGAACCATTGCTTCATGTCTTTTTCACTTTTTTCTATTGTCTCATTTTCCTCAAAATAGAGGCACTGTTTATGTATTACAGAGATTAGGCCTTTGTCATTAGTCTTTTCCTGTGAACGAGATCACATAGATTATTTGTTTCTTTTCTGGCTTTTGAATTTCAGCCATCATTTTAAAAAATACTTCCCCATGGTTTTTGTCCAGTTCTTTTGTAACTTCTTGTTCTCCATTTCAATATTGGATGTTTGGCTTTTGTTCCTTTGCGTGTTTGGTATGCGATATGGATCCCCCTTAGTCTTTTTGTCTAGCATCAATATATTTATTTTATACTGTCCTTCAGATTGATGATGATTTCCAGAGTTCTTGGGGCTTTAATGCCTGTTGCGTTTACAGACTCTCATCCGGGTTGGTTGTTTCTTTTTTGTTTTGTAAATCAGTTTATTTATTTACTTTGAGTTCATCTTCAGTGAGCTTGTTCTTTTTGTTTGTTCTTTTGTTTGTGAGAATCCCAAAGATCCAAAATTTTGGGTTTTTCATTTGCTTCTACCATGTTCCTCAAAACTCATTCAGAGAAGAACAGTCATTGTGTCCTGCCCTGTCATTAGAACTGTCTCCTCACACTCCCTTTCCTGAGACTGTCGCCTTCTGGAGTTTGTGTCTGAGTTCTGATTCCCTTCCTGTGGCCAGGCTGCTAGGAGACCCTCCCACGGGTTCCCACAGCACTAGAGTTGATAGGCTTAGTTCTGTTCTTCGGGTTCTTGTTTCTGGCCCCGGGGGATTTCCCGGTCTTTCTCATAATCTCAATTACACTTTTAAACGGCTTGTCGTAGCATGTGTTTCATCCTGTTTGGAACAGCAAGCCTTGAGAGTTACATAGCTGGCTGTATTTCAGGAGCCCTCACATATCTCACACTCCAGCCAAAATAACCTATTCCCGCAACAGGCGGTCGTGGCGTGGCCTCTGTACGTGAGAGCCGTCGTTCTTGTTAAGTGGTCCGCTTTTCCTGCCAACACCACCCTCCTCCCAGGGCATCTCTGTTATCCCTCAGGTGCCCAGGTCCTTTGGGAAGCATTTCCAGCCTTCCCTCGCACATGTAGGCAGGCTCTCCTGTGTGCCTCTCCGCTCTCACAGTTCCCTGTTCTTGCCTCTCTTGAAGCAAAATACCCTGCACATTGCCATTGTTGGATGGCTTTTGGTTCTGTTTTGGGGAAGTGGAGATGTGTGTTCTGCTCAAGCCTGAGCTCTTGGAAGGAGTCGATTTTGTGTTACGATCTTCATGCCCAGTGCCTAACACAGTGTCTGGTCCCTAGAGCTTGATCGGGGCAGGGAGACAGTCAGCTGGTACAAGGACAGTTAGTCCGACTGCTCTTTGCTTATTGGATTGCCTCAAAGCAGAATTAACTTCTCAGGCTGTTTGTGCTTGAGATGTCACATGAAAACATGTTATGGCCGGGCGTGGTGGCTCACACCTGTAATCTCAGCACTTTAGGAGGCTGAGGCAGGCAGGTCACCTGAGATCAGGAGCTCAAGACCAGCCTGGCCAACATGGTGAAACCCCGTCTCTACTAAAAATACAAAAGTTAGTCAGGCACAGTGGCAGGCGCCTGTAATCCCAGCTACTTGGGAGGCTGAGGCAGGAGAACCACTTGAGCCCAGGAGGAGGAGGTTGCAATGAGCTGAGATCGCGCGACTGTACTCCAGCCTGGGCAACAGGGCGAGACTCTGTCTCAAAAAAAAAAAGTTATAAAATCCTGATCCTGATCCTCCTAGTTTATAGAAGTTACAGCTGGGTTTTTTTTAATTTACTTAAACTCTTTTTTTTTGTACTAGAGGATAGCTTCTGAGCTACAGAGTACACTACCAATTAACAGTGGTGGTTTGTTTTCATTTAAAAATGTGTTTTGGGCTGGGTACAGTGGCTCACGCCTGTAATCTCAGCACTTTGGGAGGCCTAGGCGGGCAGATCACCTGAGTTTAAGAATTGGAGACCAGCCTGACCAACATGGTGACACCCCATCTCTACCAAAAATAGAAAATTAGCCAGGCGTGGTGGTGCATACCTGTAGTCCCAGCTACTTAGGAGGTGGAGGCAGGAGAATTGCATGAACCCAGGAAGGGGAAGTTGCAGTGAGCCGAGATCTCACCATTGCACTCCTGCCTGGGCAACAAGAGTGAAAAAAAAAAAAGGAAAAAATGTGGTTTGGTTTTTTGCATTGTGGCATATTCCTATATTAAAAGTGTGATTGTTTAAAAAAAAATGAGTTAGTTTTACTGACTATAAAAAGCCAAGTAGAGGCTGGGCACAGAGGGTCACGCCTGTAATCCCAACACTTTGGGAGGCTGAGGCAGGCAGATCACGAGGTCAGGAGATCGAGACCATCCTGACACAGTGAAACCCTGTCTCTACTAAAAATACAAAAAATTAGCTGGGCGTGATGGCGGACGCCTGTAGTCCCAGCTACTTGGGAGGCTGAGGCAGGAGAATCACTTGAACTCGGGAGGCGGAGGTTGTAGTGAGCAGAGATCGCACCACTGCACTCCAGCCTGAGTGACAGAGCGAGACTCCATCTCAAAAAAAAAAAAAAAGAAAGTCAAGTAGAAAAGATTTGGAGGTTAGAAAATGTCCATTTTGTATCATGACATATATTGAAGACATCTTAGCAGTATTCTCCAAAATAAAGTTGACATCATTACCAAGAAGTTGTTTGACGGCTGATACTGTTTCACATAGTTCCAGGAATGAAGAAGTGGGTGCCAAATGGAGGTGAGGAAACAACTCAAGCGGTGAGAAATTTGCAGGGCCTCTCCTGGGGCTTGTATAAAATGAGGAACTTACCTAAATGGGTTGTGCTGAAAACATCCTGCGAAAACATCCTGCGACAGGCCTGTGCCACTTAACTGGAGGTTCTGGTATTTGAAGCAAGTCCTAATTAGATGTTGCATCTTTCTTAACAGTTTGCTCTCGCTCAGCTGAGAAACAGTGCCAGATATTAGGCATGCTGGCTCAGCGGTCTTGTTGCTTGGAATTTCACAGACACACACCCGCTCAGGACATGGCGGCAACACATTTATAGAAAAAAACAAATTCATTATTAACCAGATGGCACAAATATATGAATGTTTCAGTGAGAAAAGTGAAAAGGAGCAAAGATAAACCTTTCGAGGAAACATCCATCCACTTCGTGTCAATAGGTGTTCGTGATCGGATGCCGTGGCCGTCATTCCTGGCGGCGCAGCCCCTGTGCCCCCGCTCTGTGCGTGTCAGCACTGGCTGTTTTCTGCTCAGAGGCCCCAGCCCTACCTCAGCACAGTGCCCCCAGCTCAAAGGTGACCTTTCCCTGAGGAGAGTCACCAAATTGCCCACCTGTGGTTTCAGAACAGGACAAGGTAGACATTTCTTTCAGAGGTTGGGGTGGTTTTTTTTTTTTCTTTTTTCTTTTTTTTTTTTTTTTACGTCCCCTTCATATGCTGTCAAGCTCTATTGTACAGACGGAACACTTACCACATTCACATAGAAAGAAAACAGCATCTTCAGGCTGGGCACGGTGGCTCATGGGGAGGCCAAGGTGGGAGGACATTTGAGGTTAGGAGTTCGAGACCAGCCTGGCCAACATGGTAAGACCCTGTCTCTAGTAAAAATGCAAAAATTAGCCAAGCATACTGGCGCATGCCTGTAATCCCAGCTACTCGGGAGGCTGAGGCAGGAGAATCGCTTGAACCTAGGAGGCGGAGGTTGCAGTGAGCCGAGATCGCACCATTGTACTCCATCCTGGGCAACAGAGTGAGACTCTCACAAAAAACAAAAAACAAACAAAAACCACAGAAAAAAACCCAGCATCTTCATCCTTGCATATGGTAAAAAAATCCACCCTTGGCAGCAGCCTTTCCCGAGTCAGAAGCGCTGCTCTCTGGAGTCGCAGGCACTGCCTGGCTCCGTCCGGCTCCCCCTGAACAGAGCACTGAAGGCTCCGGGAAGACGCTTTGGTCAGACCGCAGACCCTTCGCCTTTGGGTGACAGTTCCCTTTCCTGCTGGAATCTTTTTTTCTTTTTTTTTTGGAGACCCGGTCTTGCTTTGTCACCCAGGATAGATGGAGTGTGGTGTTTTGATCACGGCTCACAGTAGCCTTGACCTCCTGGGCTCAAGCAATCCTCCTACCTCAGCCCCCTAAGTAGCTAGGACTACAGGCGTCTGCCACCGCAATCAGCTAATTTTTATATTTTTTTGTAGAGATGGGGTTTCACCATGTTGCCCAGGCTGGTCTTGAACTCCTAAGCTCAAGTGGTCTGTCCGCCTCAGCCTCCCAAAGTGCTGGGATTACAGGTGTGAGCCACCATGCCCGGCCCTGCTGGAATCTTTGACTTAAAGTTCCACTGTGGCTTGAGGCTGGAGTTGGAACGTTATCTCTTAGGCAGAGCTTTACTGGGTCCCTTCTCTCTTCATTCACAGGGGGCCCTCCCTTTAGATCTCTGTCTATTCAGACAGGCGGCCCTTTCTCAGATGGGATATAGACAGATGATCTTTTGAAATAAGTGAGAAGATTTTTAAGATTAGAATAATATGAAGAATATCTTTCTGGCCGGGCGACGTGGCTTATGTCTGTAATCCCAGCACTTTGGGAGGCTGAGGTGAGGGGATTGCTTGAACCCAAGAGTTCAAGACCAGCCTGGGCAACATGGCGAGACCCTGTCTCGAAGAAAATACAAAAATTAGCTGCATGTGGTGGTGCATGCCTGTAGTCCCAGGTACTGAGGAGGCTGAGGCAGGAGGATCCTTTGAGCCCAGGAGGTCGAGGCTGCAGTGAGCCGTGATCACACCAGTGCACTGCAGCCTGGGCAACAGCATGAGACCCTGTCTCAGAATAAAAAAGTGTTTCTTTCTCAGAAGACAGAGTACAGAAGATGTTTGTTTTTGTTTTTTCTCTCTCTGTGCTACAGGGGAAGGTGTGGCTCATTGACTTTAATCCATTTGGTGAAGTCACAGATTCACTGCTGTTCACCTGGGAAGAACTGATATCTGAGAACAACTTAAACGGCGATTTTAGTGAAGTTGACGCTCAAGAGCAGGTACAACATTTTTAAGACAGATACAATGTAAACCTTTCCAGTCTACTGACTGACTGCTTGTTCTTCAGACGCATAGGTAGGCGGCAATGGCCAGGACCCTTGGGAAGCGCAGAGTGTAACACAGCTTTACTAATAGCTAACCTGCCCATGGTGGTGGTCAAAGAAGGGGGCCCCACTTAACTTTATATACAGAAGTCAGGATCATCTGATCAGTTTTTTTAGTTCTTTTTCTGAGCTTCTTCTGTCACACCCACCTGGAGGAATCTTGGTCCCAGATCAGCTCATGCATCTGTTCCTTCTGACCCCAGCCCCAGCTGCTGAGGCCGACAGAGAAGTTACACACGTGCAGCCCAGCGGATTCCTGTCAGCTTTCTCCTCCATTTCCACGGTGACTGGCTCACGCCTTGATGCTTCTCAGTCTCCCATCATTCCTTCCTTCCTCTCAGCAGATGATTTAACTTGCTGTTTCCCGGAAAAGGGAACCCACTGATGAGAATTCCCTCAGTTGATTTCTCATCACACCTACAAGCTTGTCCGTCCCTTCCTGAGTCTAATCTCCCCCCTCCATACACTTGTGTCCCCCTCTGTCATCTCCCCACTCTGGACACTGTGTCCTCCTCTGTCACCTCCCCCCTCAGTACACTGTGTCTTCCTCTCTCACCTCCCCCTCAGGACACTGTGTCCTCCTCTCTCTCACCTCCCCCTCAGGACACTGTCCTCCTCTCTCACCTCCCACTCTGGACACTGTGTCCTCCTCTCTCACCGCCCACTCCGGACACTGTGTCCTCCTCTCTCTCACCTCCCCCTCAGGACACTGTCCTCCTCTCTCACCTCCCACTCCAGACACTGTGTCCTCCTCTCTCTCACCTCCCCCTCAGGGCACCGTGTCCCCCTCTCTCACCTCCCCCTCAGGACACTGTCCTCCTCTCTCACCTCCCACTCTGGACACTGTGTCCTCCTCTCTCTCACCTCCCCCTCAGGACACTGTCCTCCTCTCTCACCTCCCACTCCGGACACTGTGTCCTCCTCTCTCACCTCCCCCTCAGGACACTGTGTCCTCCTCTCTCACCTCCCCCTAAGGACACTGTCCTCTTCTCGCACCTCCCACTCTGGACACTGTGTCCTCCTCTCTCACCTCCCACTCCGGACACTGTGTCCTCCTCTCTCACCTCCCCCTCAGGACACCGTGTCCCCCTCTCTCACCTCCCCCTCAGGACACTGTGTCCTCCTCTCTTACCTCCCCCTCAGGACACTGTGTCCTCCTCCTCTTTCTCCAGATGCCCTCTGCTCTTTTTGCAATTCTTCCTCTCTATCAACTCTGTCCATCCGGATTTAGTCATGCTCAGATACCTCCCATCCGAAAAAAACAAAACATTGTTCAACCCGGTTTCTTCACCCAGCCACTCTCTCCTTTCCTGCCAGCTTCACAGCCAGACTTTCCTGAAACAACTTTGTAGTGCTGTTTTCTGCCCATAAAAGTAACATGTCCAAGACGGGCGGATCAGGAAGTCAGGGTATCGAGACCATCCTGGCTAACACGGTGAAAACCTGTC
Organism: Homo sapiens; assembly: GCF_000001405.40. Classification (NCBI taxonomy): domain Eukaryota; kingdom Metazoa; phylum Chordata; class Mammalia; order Primates; family Hominidae; genus Homo; species Homo sapiens. The sequence continues at coordinate 12,247,831 of NC_000010.11, forward strand.
TCTACTAAAAATACAAAAAAAAAATTAGCCGGGCGTGGTGGCGGGCGCCTGTAGTCCCAGCTACTTGGGAGGCTGCGGCAGGAGAATGGCATGAATCCGGGAGGCAGAGCTTGCAGTGAGCCGAGATTGTGCCACTGCACTCCAGCCTGGGCGACAGGGCAAGACTGTCTCAAAAAAAAAAAAGTAACGTGCTCATTCTTAAAGAAAATTATAAAATCACTTATGATTTGAGAACCTTGAGAACCAGTGTTTATATTTTGATACATAACGTGCATTTAAACACATGCATAGACCTTTGTAAATAAATGAAATCATACTACATACTCAATTACATGTCCTGAGATTTTCACAGTGTTCTCTTGTGAGCATTTTATATCTTTTAAAAAATAGTTTTGGGCCAGACGTAGTGGCTCACACCTGTAATCCCAGCACTTTGGGAGGCCGAGGCTGGTGGATCACCTGAGGTCAGGAGTTCGAGACCAGCCTGGCCAACATGGTGAAACCCCGTCTCTACTAAAAATACAAAAAATTAGCTGGGCATGGTGGCAGATGCCTGTAATCCCAGCTACTTGGGAGGCTGAGGCAGGAGAATTGCTTGAACCTGGAAGGCGGATGTTGCAGCAGTGAGCCAAGATCACGCCATTGCACTCCAGCCTGGGTGACAGAGCGGGACTCCGTCTCAAAAAAAAAACAGGCCAGGTGCGGTGGCTCACACCTGTAATCCCAGTACTTTGGGAGGCTGAGGCAGGTGGATCACCTGAGGTTGGGAGTTCGAGACCATCCTGATCAACGTGGAGAAACCCCGTCTCTACTAAAAGTAAAAAAATTAGCCAGGCATGGTGGTGCATGCCTGTAATCCCAGCCACTCGGGAGGCTGAGGCAGGAGAATCGCTTGAACCTGGGAGGTGGAGGTTGCGATGAGCTGAGATTGCTCCATTGCATCCAGCCTGGGCAACAAGAGTAAAACTTCGTCTAAAAAAAAAAAATTAGTTTTGGCAGCTGGGCATGGTGGTTCATGCCTGTAATCCCAGCACTTTGGGAGGCCGAGGCAGGCAGATCACCTGAGGTCAGGAGTTTGAGACCAGCCTGGCCAACATAGTGAAATCCCTATCTCTACTAAAAATACAAAAATTAGCCGGACGTGGTGACGCGCGCCTGTAGTCCCAGCTACTTGGGAAGCTGAGGTGGGAGAATCACTTGAACCTGGGAGGCAGAGGTTGCAGTGAGCAACAGAGACCTGGGCAACAGAGATCGTGCCCCTGCACTCCAGTCTGAGAACAGAGCGAGACTTTGCCTCAAAAAAAAAAAAAAAAATAGTTTGGCATGGGTGCAACAGCCCACCTAGCCTATAATCTTAACACTTTGGGAGGCCAAGGCAGGAGGATTGCTTCAGCTCAGGAGTTCAAGACCAGCCTGGGCAACATACTGAGATATTTTCTGTACTAAAATTTAAAAAACTCAGCTGGGCGTGGTGGCGCATGCCTATAGTCCCAGCTACTTGGGAGGCTGAAGTGCGAGGTTCACCTGAGCCCAGGAGGTCGAGGCTGCAGTGAGCCACTGCACTCCAGCTGGAATTACAGACGTGAGCCACCGTGCCCGGCTCATTTTAACTTAAGCATCTTCCTTTCTCCTCATCAAGTACAGAGGAAAACATGGAGTTGAAATTGTTTTGCTAGGTTCTTTTTTAGTTCACAGAATAGGCCTAAAAATAAATGATTGATATTCTTTCTCCTTTTTCTTCTTTGTACAGGATTCCCCAGCTTTCCGTTGCACAAACAGTGAAGTGACAGTCCAGCCCAGCCCCTATTTGAGTTACCGGCTACCCAAGGACTTTGTAGACCTCTCTACTGGGGAGGACGCTCACAAGCTAATAGACTTCCTTAAGCTGGTAAAGTCTATGTGCATTTAGTATGCTGGCCATCTTTTCAAATAGACCTTCAAATTGGCTTTTATATAATATTTCATTGGAATCCTGTATCACCTAGACTTTGATGGTTATGAATGGAACCAAGTTACTGAGTTAGAGCATTTTCTAATTAAATATGAAATAGGAGCTGAAGGCATAATTTATTGATTAGAATGACAGAAAATGTTTTTATGCTGTACATGCCTTTTGAACATTTTTCAAAATACTTGTAACTTTGAAGAAAGTGTGTATATTGTTAGAAGGCTGTAAGGAGAGCAGGTCTCTGCTCTGGTGGTGATTTTACTCAAGAGGGGATGTGAATATTTATATTTTTGTGTGGATTTCTGTGTAGGAGTTTTTGTATGTATGGAAGAAAGAGAAGAAAATACTCAAATACCTGAGGATAATTTGCTCAGGAGTCAAAGTGATAAACTAGTTTAATGAATTAAAGCATGGTTTTCCATGACAATTTTTAATTACATCCTTTGCCAAGACCTCTAGAAAATTACACCTGCTGAGCAGATATCCCAAGGAGCATGTGCTATTTTAACATCCCCTTGGTTTTCTTTGACAGAAGAGAAATCAGCAGGAGGACGACTGATGAGCGTACTGGAACTGGAGAAGAGGAGGCCCCGCCCCACCGCTCCGGGAGCTGCTCATCAGCCGCAACTTCCTGCCGACCCTGATGCGGGTGGGCCGAGCAGTGTGGACATCAGCCACTTTTTATATTCATGTACATTCACCTGGGGAAAAAAACGGAGGGACTTTGCTACTTGTAAAAATAACATAATAAATAGATCTTAAACATAGGAAAACCATACTGTTCTGATAATAAAATGCTTTCTATGAAATACGTTGCTTTTCTACCGAGTCATTATTTTATTTATTTATTTTAATTTTAATTTTTTGAGACAGTCTCGCTGTGTCGCCCATGCTGGAGTGCACTGGTGCGATCTCGGCTCACTGCAACCTCCACCTCCTGGTTCAAGCGATTCTCCTGCCTCAGGCTCCCAAGTAGCTGGGATTACAGGTGCATGCCACCACACCCAGCTGAGTTTTATATTTTTAGTAGAGGTAGGGTCTCACCGTGTTGGCCAGGCTGGTCTGGAACTCCTGATCCTCAAGTGATTTGCCCACCTTGGCCTCCCAAAGTGCTGGGATTATAGGTGTGAGCCACCACGCCCGCCCTGTTTTGTTTAGGGACAGTCTTGTTCTGTTGCCCAGTCTGGGGTGCAGTGGCACAATCACAGCTCACTGCAGCCTCAATCTCCTGGACTCAGGCAGTCCTGCCTCAGCCTCCTGAGTAACTGGGACTACAGGTGCACACCACCACGCCCAGCTGATTTTTGTATTTTTTTGTAGAGATGGGGTTTTGCCATGTGGCGTTTTTAAAAGGCCACCATTTTTAAGTGATGATATCAATTGTGCCTAATTTACCGAGGCTTTATGATGTGCCAGACATTCTACTAAGAGCTCTTTCTGTATTAGTTGACATCACCAAGCAATTTGAAGGATACAGACATCACAATTTCCCAGGGTACCTGCCCGACGTGGTATCCGGTGGTAATCTTCGTCCTCAGTACTTGATCTTTGTATTCAGTACATCAGATGCCCTTTTTTTCTTTTTTTTAAGTAGTAGAGATGGGGTTTCCCTGTGTTGCCCATACTGATCTCAAACTCCTGGCCTTAAGCAATCCTCCTGCGTCAGCCTTCCAAACTGCTAGGATTACAGGTGTGAGCCACTGTGTCTGGCCTCAATTGCCATTTGTGGGGCCAGTTGTTTTTTTGTTTGTTTTTGAGATGGAGTTTTGTTCTTGTTGCCGAGGCTGGAGTGCAATAGTGCCATCTTGGCTCACCGCTACCTCTGTCTCCTGGGTTCAAGCGATTCTCCTGCCTCAGCCTCCTGAGTAGCTGGGATTACAGGCATGTGGCACCATGCCCAGCTAATTTTTTATTTTAAGTAGAGATGAGGTTTCTCCATGTTGATGGGGCTTGTCTTGAACTGCTCACCTCAGGTTATCTGCTTGCCTCGACCTCCCAAAGTGCTGGGATTACAGGTGTGAGCCGCCGCCCCTGGCCTCAACTGTTTAATGTACAGGTACTTCAGAAATACTTTTGTTTTTTTAAACTGCTTACAGGTGCCTATCCACCTATGATGGATTTAGTATCAAGGGTTGATTTTAAGTTTAGCTCTGGAAGCTGGCTTTGTCAAGATGGCATTTTACCAAGCCAAAAAAAAAGTAAATATATTTGATACCAATTGAAAACATTCAGACTAGGCTGGATGTGGTGGCTCATGCCTGTAATCCCAGCACTTTGGGAGCCCGAGACCGGCAGATCATCTAAGATCAGGAATTCAAGACCAGTCTGACCAATATGGTGAAATGCCATCTCTACTAAAAATGCAAAAATTAGCTGGGTGTGGTGGTGGGCGCCTGTAGTCCCAGCTACTTGGGAGGCTGAGGCAGAAGAATGACTTGAACCTGGGAGGCGGAGGTTGCAGTGAGCTGAGATTGCACCACTGCACTCCAGCCTGGGTGACGGAGCGAGCCTCCATCCCCCACAAAAAAGAAAACTATATTCAGACTATATAAAATAAAAAGACCCAAGCAAAATTTGGCAGAGAGTTCATAAACTGTACAATTCTCATTACACTTTTGCGCACATTTTCCTGGGGAAACTGGACTTCAACTCCCAGGTCACTTTCTAAAATGTGATTTTTGTGCATTGTTTACTTAGTGTATTTAATTTTAGTTGATTTTCCTGATGTTAATATCAGGAAATATAGGATACTATGCAGGAAATATTCTCCTAAAGCCCAGTATAATTTATGCCTGCCTAAAAATTACTTCTGTTTTAAGACAGAGTCTCACTCTATCTCCCAGGCTGGAATACAGTGGCACGATCTGAGCTCACTGCAACCTCTGCCTCTTGGGTTCAAGCAATTCTCCTGCCTCAGCCTCCTGAGTAGCTGAGATTACAGGTATGCATCACCACATCCAGCTAATTTTTGTGTTTTTAGTAGAGATGGGGTTTCACTATGTTAGTCAGGCTGATCTCAAACTCCTGGCCTCAAGAGATCCGCCCGCCTCGGCCTCCCAAAGTGCTGGGATTACAGGCGTGAGCCACCGCGCCCAGCTCTTAAGTTTTGAATCGTCCTTTTATTTTACTGGCATTTGTTCTTTCTTTGAGGTACCTCAGGCTTGTGCTTGAATTCAGAAAATGGAAACCTGTGTGCTTCCTCAGCGTGTCCCTGCAGTCCTTCCTTCTGAAGAGAAGACGCTGCTGCAGTTGCCTTTGAAGGGTTGGGGTAAATATGTGCTTTGTCCTGCAGGTGGTGTCATGTCGCATGGGCCTCCTGGAGACAGCACGCTTTGCCAGTTTTGTTTTCAAGAGTCTCATTTGATTTGCATTTTCTGAGTTCGTAAGGTTTTCTCATCTCAACCATTTCTCTTTTTGATGATTGAGGATCGTTAAAAAACAAGCAGAAACCTTATGTGACAGTTTTTTTGACTAAGTTTGTTACCTGCAAAGGGTAAGAAGAGTTTTCTGGAGTCCGTTAAGTGAGATAACTCATAAACCTGTAGCGTAGTGCACTGCACGTCACAGACCACAGACAAATGGTAGCTATTGTCAATCATTCTGCTTGGCAGACTTCTGTACAGTATATGAAAGGCACGTTCTTTTTAACAGAGTCAAGAAAAAAATATATATATATATTTAGTAGAGACGGGGTTTCGCCATGTTGACCATGGCTGGTCTCAAACTCCTGACTTCAGGTGATCCATCCACCTCAGCCTCCCAAAGTGCTGGGATTGCAGGTGTGAGCCACCACGCCCAGTCCCTTCTTTTCTTTTTTGACAGATGACGAAACTGCTCCCCAAAGATGTTGACTTTCCCAAAACCTTCCCTGTAGCAGGATCTAAACATTGTTTTATTCACATGTTGTCCTTGGCTCATGCTAAGGAAAGAATAAATCACGGTAAACTTACCACTCACACACAGTGCAGGTATGTATACACCTTAGAAAGATACAGCTGAGCACGGTGGCTCACGCCTGTAATCCCAGCACTTTGGGAGGCCGAGGCGGGCAGATCACAAGGTCAGGAGATCGAGACCATCCTGGCCAACATGGTGAAACCCTGTCTCTACTAAAATACAAAAAATTAGCCGGGCACGGTGGTGCATTCCTGTAGTCCCAGCTACTCGGGAGGCTGAGGCAGGCGAATTGCTTGAACCCGGGAGGCAGAGGTTGTAGTGAGCTGAGATCACGCCACTGCACTCCAGCCTGGCAGCGGAGTGAGATTCTGTCTCCAAAAAAGAAAAAAAAAGAAAGATGCTTGAGGACTAGGCCGTGCATGGTGGCTCATGCCTGTAATCCCAGCACTTTCGGAGGCCGTGTTAGGTAGATTGCTTGAGGTTAGGAGTTCAAGACCAGCCTGGCCGACATGGTGAAACCCCGTCTCTACCAAAACTACAAAAAATTAGCCAGGTGTGGTGGTGCGCACCTGTAATCCCCACGATTTGGGAGGCTGAGGCAGGAGAATCACTTGAACCTGGGAGGCAGAGGTTGCAGTGAGCCAAGATTGTGCCACTGCACTTCAGCCTGAAACAGCAAGATTCCATCTCAAAAACAAACAAACAAAAAGATTGAGGAACAGAAATCTAAGACATCGTAACAAAAATGTAGTGAAGAAATAGCTAAAAGTTATACGGTTAGGCAAAAAGTCTGGCATGAATGACCTAAAGAGAGAATGCATTCAGGTGCGTCTTTTTTTTTTTTTTAATCAAAGAAAACCAAAATAAAATGATACTGGCAACATAGTAAGACCCTGTCTCTAAAAAAAGTTGTTTTTTTTTTTTAAAGACAAATTAGCCAGACATGCTGGTGCATGCCTGTAGTCCTAACGACATAGGAGGCTGAGGCAGGAGGATCGCTTGAGCCCAGGAGTTCAAGGCTGCAGTGAGCTATGATCTCACCACTGCACCGCCTCCCCTCCCCGCGCAAAAAAAAAAAATAGATAAAAAGGAAAGAAAGGAAGAGTCCTGGCGCGGTGGTTCACACCTATAATCCCAGCACTTTTGGAGGCCAAGGTGGGTGGATCACCTGAGGTCAGGAGTTTGAGACTAGCCTGGCCAACATGGTGAAACTCTGCCTCTACTAAAAACACAAAAAAATTAGCCAGGCATTTTGGCACGTGCCTGTAATCCCAGCTACTCAGGTGGCTGAGGCAGGAGAATTGCTTGAATTTGGGGGGTGGAGGTTGCAGTGAGCCGAGATTGTGCCACTGCACTCCAGCCTGGGCAACAGGCACAGAGCCAGGCTGAAGCCCTAGTGTTCTCCAAACTGTCACCCCAGACTCACAATATGTACTAGATAAATTGCAGGTCGTCTTCTTTTCTTCCTTCCAACTGAGTTCATTCCCCCACCCTCCCTCTGTTTTCTCCTCCTAAGAAGTCATTTTGTTCAGCCACAGTTTATAAGCAGGGCCCACTGTTTAGGTCTGAGGAACAGGACAGGGTTGTACTAAGCACTTAGGCAATGATTCTTATCTGGGAAGGGCTGACAGCTTATTCTTTAATGTCTACAAATTGCTTTGAAGACAAAAAATGCTACAAAAATGTCAAGTAATGTTATTGCTTTTAGGAACATTTGTTTTCCACCTTGTGAAAGGCATATATCTCAGGTCAATGAAAGCTCAAGCTTCCAAAGCCAGACTGAGTTTCTCTCACTTACAAAAGAAGCATAGCCTCCTTTGCATGTATTGGTAATGCTGAGAGCATTGGAGTTCTTAGTTCTTTACAAAAAAAAAAAAAGTCACCAAAGAAAGAGGACACCAGGAGGCCGGGCACGGTGGCTCATGCCTGTAATCCCAGCACTTTGGGAGGCCGAGGCAGGTGGATCATGAGGTCAGGAGATCAAGACCATCCTGGCCAACATGGTGAAACCTCGTCTCTACTAAAAATACAAAAATTAGCTGGGCGTGGTGGCACATGCCTGTAATCCCAGCTACCTGGGACCCTGAGGTAGGAGAATCACTTGAAACAGGGAGTCGGAGGTTGCAGTGAGCCGAGATCGGGCCACTGCACTCCAGCCTGGCGACAGAGTGAAACTCCGTCTAAAAAAAGAAAGAGGACACCAGGAGCTGGACGCAGTGGCTCAAGCCTGTAATCCCAGCACTTTGGGAGGCCGAGGCGGGAGGATCAATTGAGGTCAGGAGTTCGAGACCAGCCTGACCAACATGGCGAAACCCCCGTCTCTACTAAAAATACAAAAATTAGCCAGGCGTGGTACTGGGCACCTGTAATCCCAATTACTCGGGAGGCTGACGCGGGAGAATCATTTGAACTCAGGAGGCACAGGTTGCAGTGAGCCGAGATCATGCCATTTCACTCCAGCCTGGGCAACAGAGCGAGACTCTGTCTCAAAAAAAAAAAAAAAAAAAAAAGCGCCAGGTAGGGACATAGGAAAGAAGGAATGGAGAGGAAGGAATACTCTCAAATACTTTTTTTTTTTTGGAGACTGGGTCATGCTCTATTGCCCAGGCTGGAGTTCAGTGGCATGATGATAGCTCACTGCAGCCTCCAATGGCTGCCCTCAAGCGATCTTCCCAACTCAGCCTCAGATGTAGCTGGGACTATAGGCACACACCACCATGCCTGGCTGATTTTACTTTCATTTTTTTTGTTACCCAGGATGGTTTGGAACCCCTAGACTCAAGTGAACCTCCCGTCTCAGCCTCCCAAAGTGCTGGGATTACAGGCATGAGCCACGATGCCTGGCCACTCTCAGGTCCTCATGGGGAAATAAATGGAGTATAAATGGATACAGCATTGTAAACAGACAATTTAAAAGACAGTCCGTGCAGAAAGGTCACTGGTACCTCTCAATGAGTTTATAGGTATGAGGAGTGAAAAGGACATCATATGGCCACCTCTCATCACCCTTGGTGGCCACAGACTTGTCTTTTTTGAAATCAAAATGAGAATGTCCAAATCAATCTTTTTTTCTGGCCAGCAGGGGGGAAGGGGGGATGGAGTCTTGCTCTCGTAGCCCAGGCTGGGGTGAAATGGCACAATCTTGGCTCACTGCAATCTCCGCCTCCCAGGTTCAAGCAAGTCTCCCATCTCAGCCTCCCTGGTAGCTGAGATTACAGGCACCCGCCACCACGCCCGGCTAATTTTCGTATTTTTAGTAGAAACGGGGTTTCGCCTCCCAAAGTGCTGAGATTATAGGCATAAACCACCGCGCTAGGCCCGAATGAGTCTTAAGAAAGGAGAGACAAAGATCCCAGGGTATGATTTGCTCACTTCTGGATTTTGAATGCAAAATAATGCTCCCCCAAAACTCGAATAATGGGAAGAAGTATGGTCAATCAGTTAAGCAGTTTTGGTTGCAAACAACAGAAACTAACTCTAGTTAATGAAAGCATGTACTGGAAGGATGTGAGGTGCCTCAGGAAATTGGCGCAAAGTGTGTAAGCTCCACAGAGAGAACGGAGACTGGGAAAACTTTGGAGACGCAAAAGACACTATCCCAGGACTTAGCTACTAGAGAGATTCTGCCTTCTGTCCTGATGACACTGGGCTCAAGATTCAGTATCCGGCTGGGTGCCATGGCTCACGCTTGTAATTCCAGCACTTTGGGAGGCCAAGGCGGGTGGATCACCTGAGGTCAGGAGTTTGAGACCAGCCTGGCCATCATGGTGAAACCCCATTTCTACTAAAAATACAAAAATTAGCCATGTGTGGCAGCGGGTGCCTGTAATCCCAGCTACTCGGAAGGCTGAGGCAGGAGAATTGCTTGAACCTGGGAGGCAGAGGTTGCAGTGAGCCGAGATTGCACCATTGCACTCTAGCCTGGGCAACAAGAGTGGAACTCCATCTCAAAAAAAAAAAAATTAAAATTATTTTTTTGTCTCCCAGGCTAGAGTGCAGTGGCATGATTATGACTCATTGCAGCCTCAATTTCCGAGGCTCAAGCTATCTTCCCACCTCAGCCTCCTGAATAGCTGGGACTACGGGAATACACCACCACGCCTGGCTAATTTATTTTTATTTTTAGCAGAAACAAGGTCTTGCCATGTTGCCCAGGCTGGTCTTGAACTCCTGAGCTCCAGCAGATCCTCCTGCCTCAGCTTCCCAAAGTGCTGGGATTACAAGCATGATCCACAACGCCGGGACCCTTCCCAGTGTTCTCTATGATCCTTTCTGCATCTCCATCCAGTACCCTCAGGACCTCACATCTGTCTGTCTGTAATAACCAACCAGTTGGGCTTGCAAACCTGCTTCTATCTTCCTCCTGCCTTTCTTGTTTGATATAGATTCCATATACCCCATGTAATTTCACTCTGATCTGTGTAAACTTATTTTCCACGACCCTTAAAACATCCTCAGCTCCCAGCAAGTCTGCCTTCTCCATGTTCTTTCAATATCCGCGGCATTCCTGCTTGCTGCCTCCCCTCGAAGCTTCCTGCTCACCTGGAATATGAATGCCCTCCTTAAGCTCATCTGTTCATTTAGGCCAGAGATTCTCAGTCTTAGTCGTATATTCTTTTTCTTTTCTTTTTTTTTTTTTAGACGGAGTCTTGCTCTGTCTCCCAGGCTGGAGTGCAGTAGCGCGATCTTGGCTCACTGCAAGCTCCGCCTCCCAGGTTCACGTCATTCTCCTGCCTCAGCCTCCCAAGTAGCTGGGACTACAGGCGCCCGCCACCACACCCGGCTAATTTTTTGTATTTTTAGTAGAGACGGGGTTTCACTGTGTTAGCCAGGATGGTCTCGATCTCCTGACCTCGTTATCCACCTGCCTTGGCCTCCCAAAGTGCTGGGATTACAGGCTTGAGCCACAGCACCCGGCCATATACTCTTTTTCTTTTTCTTTCTTTTTTTTTTTTTTCCACATAGAAACAGGTATGTGCATTGGGTGGGGTGGGGGGGGGGTCTTGCTATGTTGCCCAGGCTGGTCTCAAACTCCTGACCTAAGGATCCTCCCACCTTGGCCTCTCAAAGTGCTGAGATTACAGGCATGAGCCACTGCACCCGGCCCCTAGTTGTGTATTCTAATTACCTGGAGAGTATTTTTTTCTTAATCAATGGAGAATACTCATCCAGACCAATTAAACTGAAATCTCTGGGGCCCAGTAGTTTGTTCTTGTTTTTGTTTTTGTCTTTTGCTTTTGAGAGGGAGTCTCCCCTCTGTTGCCCAGGCTGGAGCATAGTGGTATGATCTCTGCTCACTGCAACCTCTGCCTCCCGGGTTCAAGTGATTCTCCTGCCTCAGCCTCCTGAGTATCTGGGATTATGGGTGCCTGCCACCACACCCGGCTAATTTTTGTATTTTTAGTAGAGATGGAGTTTCACCATGTTGGCAGTGGTTGGCCAGGCTGGTCTCAAACTCCTGACCTCAGGTGATCTGCCTGCCTCGGCCTCCCAAAGTGCTGGGATTACAGGCATGAGCCACCAGCTGGGCCCAGTAGTTTGTTGTTTATGTTTGTTTGTTTGTTTTGAGACAGAGTTTCACTCTTGTTTCCCAGGCTAGAGTGCAATGGTGCAATCTCGGCTCTTCACAACCTCTGCCTCCCGGGTTCAAGCAATTCTCCTGCCTCAGCCTCCTGAGTAGCTGGGATTACAGACATGTGCCACCATACCCGGCTAAATTTTGTATTTTTCAGTAGAGACGGGGTTTCCCCATGTTGGTCAGACTGGTCTCCAACTCGTGACCTCAGGTGATCCGCCTGCCTTGGCCTCCCAAAGTGCTGGAATTACAGGCGTGAGCCACCGCGTCCAGCCAAGGCCCAGTAGTTTTAAACATCCCCCAAATAATTCTAATGTACTGCTAAGGTTTAGAACCCCTATTTAAATATTAGGCCTTATGTGAGCATCTGTTAACCCCTCCTGCTCCTAAGGCCCTCCCAGATCAATGTAGCCACTATACCTTTGTCCTCCTTCTTTGAGCTTCTAGAGAGCTACAGTCCACATTATCAAACCAGCAGCTCGTTACCTGCTTTATTGTATTAATTGCTAGTTGTCTAGGTGTTTGTTTATATGACAAGCTCCTGAGGCAGGAACAAAATGCTTAGATTAATAAGCTTTTCCAGATAATGAAATATAATACAAAATAGATGGAGACACCCTCAAGAGTATTCCAAGTCACTGCGAGCGGGCAGGAGAGAGGAAATTGTCCCCACAAAGTTCATATGTTGAAGTCCTATAACCTTCATACCTGAGAATCTGACTGTGTTTGGAGACAGGCCCTTTACAGAGGTGATGAAGCTAAAATGAGGCCTTCGAAGTGGGTCCTAATCCAATATGAGGGTGTTCTTATCAGAAGAGGAAATCTGGACACAAAGACACCAGGGATGCCCAAGCGCAGAGGAAAGGCCACATCCAGGACACAGCAAGAGGGTGGCCATCTGCACACTGTGGAGAGAGACCTCAGAAATGCACCCTGCCGACACCCTGATCTTGGACTTCCAGCCTCCAGAACTGTGAGACAATAAATCATGTTGTTTAAGCCACCCTTAAAACCCTGTCTGTTGTATTTGGTTATGACAGCCCCAGCAAACTAACACATGAAGTAAAGGTGTAGGAAAATTAAAATTATAAGTTTAGGGAAAGTAATCGAAATCATCCTTATGAGCTCTGAGCTAGCAGATGCCATTCGTTAACAGGATCAGAAACCCCTGTAAATTGCCCTCCCAGGCAATACTAGCCTGATGCACTGCTAAATGCCAAATGCATCTTTACAAAGGATATTAGAAACACACAAACCCATGCCCATGCATAGAGCACAGCAGAGGAACACCTATACCTGGCAGACTAGGGTTTTTTGTTTTTTTGTTTTATTGTTTTCAGACAGAGTCTTGCTCTGTTGCCAGGCTGAAGTGCAGTGGCATGATCTCGGCTCACTGCAATCTCTGCCTCCTGGGTTCAAGCAATTCTTGTGCCTCAGCCTCCCGAGTAGCTGGGACTACAGGTGTGTACCACCACAGCCAGCTAGTTTTTGTATTTTTAGCAGAGATGGGGTTTCATCATGTTGGCCAAGCTGATCTCGAACCCCTGGCCTCAGGCAACTCTGCCCTCCTCAGCCTCCCCAAGTGCTGGGATTACAGGTGTGAGCCACCGTGCCCAGCCAGACTGTGGTTTTAAGAGGGCATTTCACATGTGAGAGCTTTAGACACCCCAAAACCTGAGTCTGTCCTGCAAGATAAAGGCACAAAATGATCAGGTGGATGGAACTGCTGCTCTTTATAAAGAGATTTTTAAAATTTCAGTCTGAATTGGGATATAGGAGCTTTTCTAGAATGATAGTATGATAATAAACTTGTCGCAGACACCCTCAAGGTGACTACCAATGAGCCCTTGTATAACCTCTTCCCTGGAGTGCAGGTGAAAACTATGACTTGATTCTAACCAATAGATTATGCTTAGAATCCTTGAAGCCCTGACCTCCTGGGATCAAGCGATCCTCCTGCCTGGGCCTCCCAAAGTGCTGGGATTACAGGTGTGAGCCACCGTACCCGGCCACTACATGGCCTTTGATTTCACTTTTCTCCAGCCCGCCAGCCACATCCCACCTCCGTCTCTCACCTGATTCATGCTGCTGTCTGAGGCTTCTCTGTCTCATCTTTTTTATTTATTTATTTGTCTGAAACAGAGTCTCGCTCTGTTGCCCAGGCTGCTGGAGTGCAGTGGCACAATCTTGGCTCACTGCAGCCTCCACCTCCCGGATTCAAGTGATTCTTCCACCTCAGCCTCTTGAGTAGCTGAGACTTCAGCTACAAACATCCAAACTATGTTAGATGATCATGAGGTGTCACAATAAACTCTCAGGAAAATAATGGGGGAGCCTGAAAGTGACTTTGAGTGTCAGGAAGGTTTCTGACCTCAGCTCTCTGGAAGCCAGGGGTGAGCATAGCTCAAAATATGGGACAGGCTGGGAGCAGTGGCTCACGCCTGTAATCCCAGCACTTTGGGAGGCCGAGGCGGGCAGATCACTTGAGGTCGGGAGTTTGAGACCAGTGTGGCCAACATAGTGAAAACCCATCTCTGCTAAAAATACAAAAATTAGCCGGGCATGGTGGTGTGCACCACCACGCCCAGCTAATTTTTTGTGTGTGTTTTTAGTAGAGAAGGGGTTTCCATGTTGGTCAGGCTGGTCTCAAACTCCTGACCTCAAGTGATCTACCCGCCTCAGCCTCCTAAAGTGCTGGGATTACAGGCATGAGCCACTGTCCCTGGCCAGATCATGCAATCTTAATCTGAACAAAAGAACTCAAGAGTTTGAGCGGCCGGGTACCGTGGCTCACGCCTGTAATCCCAGCACTTTGGGAGGCCGAGGTGGGTGGATTGCCTGAGATCAGGAGTTCGAGACCAGCCTGGCTACCATGGTGAACTGCATCTCTACTAAAAAAAAAAAATAAAAAATTAGCTGGGTGTGTTGGTGCGCGCCTGTAGTCCCAGCTACTCAGGAGGCTGAGCCAGGAGAATCACTTGAACCCAGGAGGCAGAGGTTGCAGTGAGCCAAGATCACACCACTGCACTCCAGCCTGGGTGACAGAGCAAGACTCTCTCTCAAAAAAAAAAAAAAAAAAAAAAAAGAGTTTGAGCAAAGGGAATTCTGATTTAATTGAAAAAAAAAATACGATCAAGCAGGTATATCTTCAAGGGCCATTATGTCCCAGGCCTTGAGTACTTCTGATGCTGTGATGAGATCAGCCAACCACACAAGACCATTCACTGAGCATCTTCTGTAAACTTGACACTGTGGTATCACCATCAACAAAGAGAAGAGTGAAAAAAACACAGAAGGGTGTTTGTAGCTTTAGGGGGCTGCGGTGTTTCACAGGTTGTTGGATTTGAGGGTCCATTTGCTGTAAGGTTGTAAAGATAGCCAGTGGCTTGGAACTCCAGTGCCACCCCCCACCACTACCCAGCCACAGACCCCAGCTTTGATTTCATAACCACACAACATACAGACTTCACACCACTCCTAACCAGTGTGGTTTACTCTCTAAATTGAACACTAAGATCTACAGATAAGACTGGGGGACTGAAAACAAGGACACCTTTGTCTCAGCCCTGGTTCTGCAGGTACAGTCAATTGTGTGATCTTTTTCCTAAGTAAATGGGACAGCTGCATCGTTTACATTAAGATTCATGCAGACAGCTCTGGTTAATTCTTTCTCAAAATAAAAACAGTTAATAGACAAACCCAAACCTCAGGTTCATTTCAGGTTGTCTGTCTGAAACCAACCTATCCATGACTATGTCTGGAAAAATTCTCTTCCCTTTTAAACCATTCAGACATGAGCTGGTACAACATAGTCTTATGGCTTGAACCTCTAGATGAAGGTTTTTTTTCTCAAAGAAAGAAAAATAATTTTTGTTTTTGTTTTTTGAGCCAGGGTCTAGCTCTGTCGCCCAGGCTAGAATGGAGTGGCACAATCTCGGCTCATTGCAACCTCCACTTACTGAATTCAAGCAATTCTCCTGCCTTAGCCTCCTGAGTAGCTGGGACCAAAGAGGTACACCACGACATCTGGCTAATTTTTGTATTTTTAGTAGAAATGGGGTTTCACCATATTGGCCAGGCTGGTCTCCAACTCCTGACCTCAAGTGATCAGCCATCTTGGCCTCCCAAAGTGCTGGGGTTACAGGCATAAGCCACTGTGCCCGTACATAATTCTCATTTTAAAAAACTTTTTATTTTTTATTTTTGCAGAACTGTCAAACTCCTTCCTCAAATTTTCTTCCTATTTTATGATTGCTGACTTTGGGGTGGGGGAAGTCGCAGTGAATATTTATTAACTGTTAGATCCAATGGAACATGTGTCATGGACTCTTTTTCAACTAAGAAGTGGAAGCTGAAGCTGTCTTTCTTTTTTGATTTTAAAATTTCACCTTTATGTTAGATTGGGAAGTACATGTGCAGGTTTGTGACAAGGGTATATTGCGGGATGCTGAGGTTTAGGGTGTGACTGAAGCCCTCATCCAGGTCGTGAGCACAGTAACCAACAGGTCGTTTTTCACGCCTTCCCCTCTCCCTCCCTCTCCCCTCTGGGAGTCCCCAGTGTCTTGTTCCCCTCCTTCCGCCCATGTGTACCCTATGTTTGGCTGCCACTTAATAAGTGAGAATATGCGGTATTTGGTTTTCCGTTTCTGCGTTAATTTGTTGAGCATAATGCTGTTTTCTTTTTTTTCTTTTAGACAGAGTTTCGCTCTTGTTGCCCAGGCTGAGTGCAGTGGTGCCATCTCAGTTCACTGCAACCTCCACCTCCCGGGTTCAAGCGATTCTCCTGCCTTAGCCTCCCGAGTAGCTGGGATTACAGGCGTGTGCCACCACGCCTGGCTAATTTTTGTATTTTTAGTTGAGATGGGGTTTCATCATATTGGTCAGGCTGGTCTCGAACTCCTGACCTCAGGTGATCCACCTGCCTCGGCCTCCCAAAGTGCTGGGATTACAGGCGTGAGCCACCGCGCCTGGCCATGCTGTTTTCTTAAACTAATCAAAAATAGTCTAAATACTGTACTTCACAGAATTTGTAAGGCTGGAAGAATCGGCCTGTGGCTGCTTCCAGCCTGGGAAAGGGATGGGCCACAAGATGGCGCCGCGCGTGCGGCGGTGAAGGCCGAGGCCGCCAGTGCCAGGTGGATGCCCGCCCTCCCCCAGGCCCTCAGGCCACGAGCAGGGGCGGGGGCACGGCTCACGATGTCATTTACACCGAGACAAAAGCCTAAATTGCTCCCTGTGCTTTCAGTGACCTAGGCCTTCCTCTCGTATTCTCTTTCTCTCGTATTCTCAAGTGTTTCTAGAAATGTGCTCTGGAGACATCCCCAAGCCAGTAGCTCCTCCCTCATTCTGAGAAGGCGGTTTAGTGCAGCTGGTCTCTGAAGGCATTGGGTGTTTTCCCCTCAGCTCCCGAGGGACAGCGTGGGAGGGTGGTGCTCTGGGCCTTCTCTCTACCATGCTTTGTTGTTGTTGATTTGTTTAAGCGCCAAACACTGAGTTTCCTTAATGTACCTGTGGGAAGATCAGTGGCAGAACTAGCAGAGGCTGTGTCCGGGCGCGGTGGCTCGCGCCTGTAATCCCAGCTACTGGGGAGGCTGAGGCAGGAGAATCGCTTGAGCCTGGGAGGTGGAGGTTGCAGTGAGCCGAGATCACACCACTACACTCCAGCATGGGTGACAGAGCGAGACTCCATCTCAAAAAAAAAAAAAAAAAAAAAAAAAAAAAAAAAAAGAACTAGCAACAAGCAAAGGCTGTGTTGCTTATGATACTTATTCCTGACAAAGGAAGGATGAACCTGAACTCTTAAATCTAAGGTGTTACCGGAAAGGGGTCCCGATCTAGACCCCAAGAGACCCTCGCACAAGAAGGAATTCAGGGCGAGTCCATAGAGTAAAGTGAAAGGAAGTTTATTAAGAAAGTAGAGAAATAAAAGAATGGCTACTCCATAGATAGAGTAGCGCAGGGGGCTGCTGGTTGTCCATTTTTATGGTTATTTCTGGATGATACGCTAAACAAGCGGTGGATTATTCATGCCTCCCCTTTTTAGACCATACAGGGTAATTCCTGATGTGGCCTTGGCATTTGTAAACTGTCATAGCGCTGGTGGGAGTGTAGCAGTGAGGACCACCAGAGGACACTGTCCTCGCCATGTTGGTTTTGGCCACTGTTTTACTGCAACCTGTTTTATCAGCAAGGTCTTTATGACCTGTGTTTTGTGCGGATCTCCTATCTTATCCTGTGACTTAGAATGCCTTAACCATCTGGGAATGCAGCCCAGTAGGTCTCAGCCTTATTTTACCCAGCTCCTGTTTAAGATGGAGTTGCTCTGGTTCAAACGCCTCTGACAAAGGGACAGTCATTTCACCTCACACATGAAAGCAAACCTAAAATTTTCTCTATTGGAAGTTCAATCTTGGCTAAGGGCATGATTTAGAAATCAAAGGAGTCTGACCTTCACGTGGTTTTGAACACTTGTGGAAAGGTAGCTGTGGGAAGGGACGTAGCCTTTGTAATGCAAGAGGAGAGAATGGGGTGTGGGGCGTGTGGCCCAGAAATGACACAGAACTCTGACAGCACTGCCCGGTTGCCATGTAGCTAGGTAAATATTTGCAAAGCACCTACTGCTTCTCCGGACTCGGGGCAAGTGTCTACTGGGCATGAAACCATCTCCGTGGGGAAGTGAGCCTTACCCAGTTCTTATCTCCCTCTTGAGGCCAAGTTCACAGAATATGACACAACTTCCAGAGGAAAGGGGGGCCTGCCAGTTCTTATCTTCCTCTCTCAGCTGGCATTGGGACATTTTAGTGGCCAGGACCAATGTGTTATCTGTAGGAGCCCTGAAGAGAAGAGGTGGGCCCAGAGGCTTTTTTTTTTTTTTTTTTTTTTTTTTTTTGAGACAGAGTCTCGTTCTGTCGCCAGGCTGGAGTGCAGTGGTGCGATCTCGGCTCACTGCAAGCTCCGACTCCCTAGTTCAAGCGATTCTCCTGCCTCAGCCTCCCAAAGAGCTGGAATTACAGGCACACACCACCACACCTAGCTAATTTTTGTATTTTTAGTAGAGACAGCGTTTCACCATGTTGGCCAGGGTGGTCTCGCTCTCCTGACCTTGTGATCCGCCTGCCTCGGTCTCCCAAAGTGCTGGGATTACAGGTGTGAGCCACCGCGCCCGGCCAAGACTCGTCTTCTGGATATTAATTCCCGGAGCTGTCATTTCCTGAGAGCTCATGATCAAGAGGCATTGAGAGGTAGACCAGCTCGCTGTATAATTGTTAGCGGTGCCAATCTGTAAGGCACGCTACAGTGTCATGGAGCTGTAATGAGATGGAAAATCATATTTCTCAGAGGTCTTCTCAGGTAGACTATTCTTTTTTAAAAATTTCAAATACAATTTAAAAACAAGTGCATGTTTTAAAATGTCATTTACCAAATCAAAAGCCAAACTAATAGAAAAAAAAATTTGTAACAAATATGCCAGATCAAAGCTTAATATAGTTAACATACAAATAAAAGGACTTCAAAATTAAACAAAATAAGATTGGGTTAAGGATGTTATACAGGCAATTCATAAAGGAAAAAACACAAATATACAATAAATATATAAAAAGATGTTCAAGACAGAATAAAAAATGCATATTACACTGTTGTAGAATAATATTTTTATGTAACCAAGTGAGAAATATTTTTAAATGGCAATATAATTGGTGTAGAAATGTAATCCTATGTAATTCTGCAATATATATGTTCAAAAGGCTTTTTTTTTCTTTTTAGGAAAGGCCTCTATTATAGATTTGATTAAAAAATATATATATATAGCCTGGCGCGGTGGTCACGCCTGTAATCCCAGCACTTTGGGAGGCTGAGGCCAGCGGATCACGAGGTCAGGAGATCGAGACCATCCTGGCTATCACAGTGAAACCCCGTCTCTACTAAAAATACAAAAAAATTAGGCGGGCGTGGTGGCGGGTGCCTGTAGTCCCAGGTACTCGGGAGGCTGAGGCAGGAGAATGGCGTGAACCCGGGAGGCGGAGCTTGCAGTGAGCCGAGATCGCGCCACTGCACTCCAGCCTGGGCGACCGAGAGAGACTTAAATAAATAAATAAATATAGAACCATTTAGATTTTCTATTTTTGTGTATCTGTTTTGCCTTTTTTTTTTTTTAGACGGGGTCTCACTCTGTCGCCAGGCTGGAGTGCAGTGGCGCAATCTTGGCTCAAGGTAACCTCCGCCTCCCGGGTTCAAGCGATTCTCCTGCCTCAGCCTCCCGAGTAGCTGGGACTACAGGCACGTGCCACCACGCCCAGCTAATTTTTGTATTTTTAGTAGAGACGGGGTTTCACCCTGTTAGCCGGGATGGCCTCAATCTCTTGACCTTGTGATCTGCCTGCCTCGGCCTCCCAAAGTGCTGGGATTACAGGTATGAGCCACCACACCCAGCCTTTTTTTTTTTTTTTTGAGACGGAGTCTCGCTCTGTCTCCCAGGCTGGAGTGCGGTGGCGCAATCTCAGCTCACTGCAAGCTCCGCCTCCCAGGTTCACGGCATTCTCCCGCCTCAACCTCTGGAGTAGCTGGGACTACGGGCACCCACCACCAGGACCGGCTAATTTTTTTTTTTTTTTTTTTTTTTTTTGTATTTTCAGTAGAGACGGGGTTTTCACCATTCACAGGATGGTCTAAATCTCCTGACCTTGTGATCCGCCCACCTCGGCCTCCCAAAGTGCTAGGATTACAGGGGTAAGCCACCGCACCTGGCCTTTTTTTTTTTTTTTTTTTTTTAGATTGTGTCTCACTCACTCTGTTGCTCAGGCTGGAGTGGAGTGGCATGATGTCAGTTCACTTGCAACCTCTGCCTCCGAGGTTCAAGCAATTCCCCTGCCTGAGCCTCCCAAGTAGCTGCGATTACAGGCATGCACCACCATGCCTAGCTAATTTTGTATTTTTAGTAGAGATGGGATTTCACCATGTTGGCCAGGGTGGTCTCTAACTCCTGACCTCAGGTGATCTGCCAGCCTCGGCCTCCCAAAGTGCTGGGATTACAGGCGTGAGCCACCGTGCCTGGCCTGTTTTGCAAGTTTTTAAAATTAAATATATATTTTCAAAAACTCAAGTCCAAAAGACTGGTCTCTTGGGTCTCTCCTCCTTTTCCAGCAATTGTGGATATAGGAATTACCCTGACCTGATCACTGTACATTATGTATATTGCAACATCACTATCTACCCTGTAAATATGTACAGCTATTATCTGTCAATTAAAATGTGTGTGTGCGTGTGTGTTTTTAAATCAGTTAGACTAGGCTGGACATGGTGGCTCATGCCTGTAATCCCAACACTTTGGGAGGCCGAGGTGGGAGGCTTGTTTGAGGCCAGGAATTCAAGACCAGCCTGGGCAATGTAGTGAGCCCCTGTCTATACAAAAAAAAAAAAAAAAAGAAAAATAATAAAATGAAAAATCAGATAGACTGTTCCAAGTGGTAGGAAGAAATACTTTGATAAGTGACTTAAGATGGAGGTAAGACACCCCACTCCCCACCCACCCTACTTGTGAGGACATACCAGAGTGACAACTCCAAGCTGCTCAACTGCCTTCCATCTGAAGAACTTGTTCGCTAAGTGGGGCACATAGTGTGGAGTTGGAGCTAAATTGTTAGGGACAAAAAAGGCTGAGTTATCAGACCTGTGCCCCGTCTGTCTCAGGCTCTTATCTGCAGAATCAGCGAAGAAATCCCTAAAGACTATGGGTTTCAGGGAGTGCCCAGTTATGAGCCTGTTACAGCACCGTGTGCCTTCACCCTGCCCAGGTGAGGGGGCCCCACAGGTGGGGGCTTCCACTTTGTTGTCTCTGTCCCTCAGGTCCCTGAGGACAATCAAGGTAGCCATACACCCTGAATTTGCAAGGGCTGTCTGGTTTTAAAGTCTCTCCCTTTGATTCAGGAAAGTCCATTCTTACTTGTCAGTCTCGTCTTGTGTCCTGACTTTTGGCTCAGAAAATCAGTCACCACAGTCTCAAAAACTTTGAACTCAGCACTTCTCTCTTCCCTGCAGTAGGAAATCCCCTATAAGATGATCAGAGACAGACCCCTTGGGAAACTGCTAGGCCAGGGGCTGGAAATTGCAGGTGTCAACTCCCAGTAGAAACACCATTGTGGATACTTAGGTGACTCAGTAGCTATGGAAGATAAGACGGATCAGAGACCAGGATCAAGGGAGATAAATATTTTCAAAGAGCTTTGAGTTATTCAAGAAAGGACTCCTCAAATGGACAGGTATGGACCCATAAAAACAGAAATTCAGTCTTCTGGCTTTAGAATTTTGCCGCTTGACAGCTCCAGCTTGCGGCCCCCTTCCCCGCCCTCCTTCCCCCGGCCCCTATCTCTCCTGCACCGCCCACCCCCAACATTACATGCCACATCTTCTGGGTGAGACTTGACAATCCTTCTTTTAAAAATTTAATTAATTAATTATTTATATGTTTTTTGAGACAGAGTCTTGCTCTGTCACCCAAGCTGGAGTACACTGGTGTGATCTTGGCTCACTGCAACCTCCGCCTCCTGGGTTCAAGCAATTCTTCTGCCTCAGCCTTCTGAGTAGCTGGGACTACAGGCATGCACCACCACACCCGGCTAATTTTTTGTATTTTTAGTAGAGACAGGGTTTCGCCATGTTGTCCAGGCTGGTCTCAAACTCCTGACCTCAGGTGATCCACCCACCTTGGCCTCCCAAAGCGCTGGGATTACAGGAGTGAGCCACCGTGCCCAGCCAGTCCTTCTTTTTTTTTTTTTTTTTATCCAATTTCTTTCCCTTTCTTTAATTCCTCTTTTGTTTTGTCAAAGTAGTTCCTGAGCATCTTTTTCATGGTGAGTACTTGTGGAATACATCTTCCAAGTTCTCCTGTGCACATCTTAATAGTGTCTCTTTGATTGCTTCACATTTGATCGATAATCTGAGTGGGTAGGGAATGCTAAATTCAAAATAGTTTCCTAGCTGGGCATGGAGTCTCACAGGTGTAATTCCAGCACTTTGGAAGGCTGAGGCAGGAGGATTGCTTGAGCCCAGGAGTTTGAGAACAGCCTTGGCAACATAGCAAGACCCTGTCTTTACAAAAAAATAAGAAAAAAAAATTAGCCAGATGTGGTGGCATGTGTTTGTAGTCCCAGCTACTCGGGAGGCTGAGGCAGGAGGATCCTTTGAGCCTGGGTTATCAAGGCTGCAGTGAGATGTGATCGCATCAGCCTGGATGACAGACCGAGAACCTATCTCAAAAAAAAAAAGTTTCCCATAAAAATTTCGTAACCATTGTTTGTCTTCTAGCAAAATTATTTTACATTTGAAAACTTTAGGCCGGGCTCACGCCTGTAATCCCAGCACTTTGAGAGGCCGAGGCAGGTGGATCACCTGAGGTCAGGAGTTCAAGACCAGCCTGGCCAACATGGTAAAACCCCATCTCTACCAAAAATACAAAAATTAGCTGGGTGTGCTGGCGGGTGCCTGTAATTCCAGCTACTCGGGAGGCTGAGGCAGGAGAATCACTTGAACCCAGGAAGCGGAGTTTGCAGTGAGCCAAAATAGCGCCACTGTACTCCAACCTGGGTGACAAGAGGGAAACTCCTTCTCAAAAAAAAAAAGAAAAAGAAAAAGAAAACTTCAAACAAGTGTTTTCTTTCAGCCATCAAGCCTTTCCACCCCCTCTCTACTTCTGCTTCTTAAGCAAAGCATTTCCTCATAATCAGGGTGGAGTAATCTATTTTTGTTAGAACTCCCTGTAAAAATGCAACTGCCTCAAGAGGATCAAACACTTATGATCATCCTCAGTGCCAGGGGCTGGAAGTTGGGCCTTATATGGAATTCGTGACTCATCATCCAAGAGCCTAAAAGATTTACTTGCTCTGGCCGGGCTCCTAATTGCATGGGCTGAGCATCAGCTAGACGCCTGAAATCGAACACCTCGACACCTTTTAACTAACCTGGGAACATATTTCTGACTTGGTGCCAGGAAACAGAATACCTGTTTGGTAAACTGTCAACTTCTAGGTCTGAAAAAAAATGCCCGCAACTTCTGTTGAGTCACATCATAAGAGACCGTGAGGACACGTGGATGCCAGGACAAGATACAGGAATAATTCCTTTTCTTAGCAAGAGGAGATATAGCTGATTATAGTTCCTTCCACATAAGCAATGATTATGAATTAGGAAATAACCCAAGGGAGGCCGGGTGCGGTGGCTCACACCTGTAATCCCGGCACTTTGGGAGGTCGAGGCGGGTGGATCACCTGAAGTCAGGAGTTTGAGACCAGCCTGGCCAACACAGTGAAACCTTGTCTCTACTAAAAACACAAAAAATTAGCCAGGTGTGGTGCCACGTGCCTGTAGTCCCAGCTTTTCGGGAGGCTGAGGCAGGAGAATTGCTTGAACCCAAGAGGCAGAGATTACAGTGAGCTGAGATCGCGTCATTGCACTCCAGCCTGGGCGACAGAGCGAGACTTGGTCTCAAAAAAAAAAAAAAAAAAAAAGGAATTAACCCAAGGGAGCACTTTCTTTTTTCTTTTTCTTTTTTTTTTTTTGAGATGGAGTCTCGCTGTTACCCAGGCTGGAGTGCAGTGGCGCGATCTCGGCTCACTGCAAGCCCCGCCTCCCGAGTTCACGCCATTCTCCTGCCTCAGCCTCCCAAGCAGCTGGGACTACAGGCACCTACCACCACGCCCGGCTAATTTTTTTTGTATTTTTAGTAGAGACAGGGTTTCACTGTGTTAGCCAGGATGGTCTCGATCTCCTGACCTCGTGATCCGCCCACCTCGGCCTCCCAAAGTGCTGGGATTACAGGCGTGAGCCACCGCGCCCGGCCCAAGGGAGCACTTTCTTTCTTTTTTTCTTTTCTTTTTTTTTTTGAGATGGAGTCTCTCTGTCGTCAGGCTGGAGTGCGGTGGTGCGATTCTGGCTCACTGCAACCTTTGACTCCCAGGTTCAAGTGATTCTCCTGCCTCAGCCTCCAAGGGAGCACTTTCTAACAGTCAGAGCTGAGTAAAAGTAGAATGGACTGCTATGGGAATCTGTGGGTTCCTCTCCATAAGAGTTTTTGTTTGTTTGTTTGTTTTCTTGAGACCGAGTCTCTCTCTGTCACCCAGGCTGGAGTGCAGTTGTGTGATCTTGGCTCACAGCAACCTCCGCCTCCCAGGTTCAAGCAATTACTTGTGCTTCAGCCTTCTGAGTAGGTGGGACCACAGGCATGTGCCACCGTGCTCAGCTACTTTTTATATTTTTTGTAGAGATGGGGTTTCACCATGTTGGCCAGGCTGGCCTTGAACTCCTGACCTCAGGTGATCCACCTGCCTTGGCCTCCCAAAGTGGTGGGATTACAGGCGTGAGCCGCTGCACCTGGCCCATGAGTTATTCTTGGTGGAGATGTTGTAAATTGGATGCAACAATCTATGGATGGTTGGAATGTGTGATCTCTACGTTCTTTTTCAACTATGGAAATGTATGTTTGCTATACCTGGTATGACACCTGGCACACAGTAGATGGTCAATTTGTACTAAATAACATGTCTGTGGACTTTCTTACATCACAGTCACAGAGACAAATGTCATCACTGTTTCTGCTTGCTATAATTTACACTAAGAAGGTTTTAATCACAACTACCATTAGCTACTCATATTGAGAAATTCCCAGAATATTCTCTTCTGCAAACAGTGGCTGAGTTTGGATTGAGGACTCCGTTTTGGCAACAACCTCTTTACTGCTTCAAGTAATTGCACCCTCACAAACTTGGGATCGCATACACGTAACCAACATGTAGAGGGCAGGAAGCAGTTAAACTGCAAAGCCCCATTGAATCATCTAGATTAGGCACAGGTGGAAGGGCTTTTGAATAATAGGAGAGAGGCTTCCAGGCAACACTCGGCCTGGAAAACACGGCTTTTCTTGTCTGTGAGGGTTGAAGAAGGCATCCAGAGCACGGCCCATCTCCTATGGCTCCGTCACCTACCTGCTCGTGCAGAGAGGAGCAGAATCTGTAAGGGTGAGAGCAGTAGAGACACAGCTGCTGGTGTCCATTAATGTAGGTAGAAAGCTTAAAAAGATGGGTCAGGAGTGGTGGCTCACGTCTGGAATCCCAGTACTTTGGGAGGCTGAGGCAGGTGGATCACTTGAGGTCAGGTGGTCAAGAACAGCCTGGCCAACATGGTGAAACCCCGTCTTTACTAAAAATATAAAATTTAGCCAGGTGCGGTGGCATGTGCTTGTAGTCCCACCTACTTGGGAGGCTTAGGTGGGAGAATCACTTGAACCTGGGAGGTGGAGGTTACAGTGAGTCAAGAACTCGCCACTGCACTCCAGCCTGGGTGACAGAGCTAGACTGTCTCCAGAAAAAAAAAAAAAAAAGATGGGCTGGGTGGTGGTGGTAATTCCAGCATTTTGGGAGGCCAAGGTGGGAGGATTGCTTGAGGCCAGGAGTTTGAGATCAGCCTGACCAACATAGCAAAACCCTGTCTCTATTTTATTTGTAAAATAAAAATAATATAATTAATAAAAATACGAATAAGAACGCTTGGCCGGGTGTGGTGGCTCACACCTGTAATCCCAGCACTTTGGGAGGCTGAGGCGGGTGGATCACAAGGTCAAGAGATCGAGACCATCCTGGCCAACATGGTGAAAACCCATCTCTACTAAAAATACAAAAATTAGCTGGACGTGGTGGTGGGAGCCTGTAGTCCCAGCTACTTGGGAGGCTGAGGCAAGAGAATCGCTTGAACCCTGGAGGCAGAGATTGCAATGAGCCGAGTTCTCACCACTTTACTCCAGCCTGGTGACAGGGCAAGACAGTCTCAAAAAAAAAAAAAGAAAGAAAAGAAAAAGAAAGCTTGAGAAAAATGGGATCTTTTAGATACGATTCAGAGGTACTCACAATAAGCCTAACAGTTAGTACCAAGAAGTGACTGCTCCTGGCCAGCTGAGCTGCAGCCAAGGACAGCAAACAAGGAAGGGACCTGATAGCCCAGGCAAACTGTTTTAACAACTCTTGATTTCTGAATCAAAAATTGGAACTCATGGTCTTGAATTTATTTATTTATTTATTTTTGTTTTTTGTTTTTCTTGAGACAGAGTCTCACTCTGTCGCCCAGGCTGGAGTGCAGTGGTGCGATCTCTGCTCACTGCAAGCTCCACCTCCCAGGTTTGCGCCATTCTCCTGCCTCAGCCTCCCGAGTAGCTGGGACTGCAGGTGCCCGCCACCACGCCCAGCTGATTTTTTTGTGTATTTTTTTAGTGGAGATGGGGTTTCACCGTATTAGCCAGGACGATCTCGATCTCCTGACCTTGTGATCTGCTCGCCTCGCCCTCCCAAAGTGCTGGGATTACAGGTGTGAGCCACTGTGCCCGGCCTATGTTATTTTTTGAGGAAGTGTCTCATTCTATCACCCAGGCTGAAGTGCAGTGGCATGATCTTGGCTCACTGCACCCTCCACCTCCCGAGTTCAAGCAATTCTCCTGCCTCAGCCTCCGAAGTAGCTGGGATTACAGGCGCCCGCCGCCACGCCCGGCTAATTTTTGTATTGTTAGTAGAGATGGGGTTTCACTCTGTTGCCCAGGCTGGTCTCAAACTCCTGGGTTCAAGTGATCCACCCGCCTCGGCCTCCTAAAGTGCTGGGATTATAGCCGTGAGCCACTGTGCCCGGCCTTGAATTTGTTTTTATGTATGAAATGACAAGTTTATAGACAATTACAATAGAAAAAAATGTATCTATGATCTTATCACCCTAACACAACTCTGTGGCACTCGTTTGATGACTTCCAAGTTCTCTGTGGTCACATATAGCTATTAGAGATGGACTATTAGAATTATAGTGCAAATATGGCTTGATTTGTGCCAAAAAGACTTTGAAAAGAATTATACCAATTTATAATATGTAAATTATATATAATTATATATCACCACCATCCATCTGTAATTTGGAATTGGACTTTTTTTCCTACTTAACGTATCATAGTGGCTGGGCGAGGTGGCTCAAACCTGTAATCCCAGCACTTTGGGAGGCCAAGGCAGGTGGATCACCTGAGGTCAGGAGTTCAAGAACAGCCTGACCAACATGGTGAAGCCCTGTCTCTACTAAAAATACAAAAACTAGCCGGGCATGGTGGTGCATGCCTGTAATCCCAGCTACTCAGGAGGCTGAGGCAGGAGAATCACTTGAACCCAGGAGGTGGAGGTTGCAGTGAGCTGAGGTCATACCATTGCACTCCAGCCTGGGTGACAGAGTGAAAATTTGTCTCAAAACAAAAACAAAACACATAAAAGCATATCATAGGCACTTTGCTAACTATTTTCTCCCAATTTTTGTTTTATATTGTAGCTAAATGGTATTTAGGTTTTTGTTTTTGTTTTTTGTTTTATGAGACAGGGTCTCACTCTGTCACCCAGGCTGGAATGCAGCATGCAATAGTGTGGTCTTGGCTCACTGCAGCCTTGACCTCCTGGGCTCAAGCTATCCTCCCATCTCCGCCTCCCGAGTAGCTGGGACCACAGGCACCACCCCCAACCACACCTGGCCAAGTTTTTAATTTTGTAGAGACTGGTTTCATCATGTGGCCCAAGGTGGTCTTGAACTCCTGGGCTCAAGCGATCCTCATGCCTCGGCCTCCCAAAGTTCTGGGATTACAGGCATAAGCCACTGTGCCCAGGTGATAAATGGTATTTTGTCAAGTGGCAGGGTTAATAATATCTGACATGGGCCAGGTGCAGTGGCTAACTCCTGTAATCCCAGCGCTTTGGGAGGCTGAGGCAGGTGGATCACCTGAGGTCAGCCTGACCAACATGGTGAAACCCCGTCTCTACTAAACATACAAAATTAGCCGGGCATGGTGGCGTGTGCCTGTAGTTCCAGCTACTTGGGAGGCTGAGGCAGGAGAATTGCTTGAACTCAGGAGGTGGAGGTTGTGGTGAGTCGAGATCGTGCCATTGCACTCCAGCCTGGGCAACAAGAGCAAAACTCTGTCTCAAAAACAAAAAAAGTCTGACATGTACTATGTTCGTTGTATGCTATGTTGAATGCCGTGTGAGCCCATGCATTAGCTCATCTAATCCTCACAACTTTAGGATGCAGGTGATAGCATGATCGTTTTTTCAGATGAGGAATTTCCGAGAGCCATTGGTAACACAGCCTGTTAGTGCCAGGGCTGGGCTTCTCACCATGTTTGATTCCCGGTTCTAAACTCGTAACCAAGCTGCCTAATCAGCCTCTGTCTGTTTAGACCTTTAAATTACTGCCTTTTTGTTGTTGTTTTTATTATAATGAACCCTACAAGAAACATCGCATTGTTACGCATAGGCTGTCTGCATTGTAATGTTGTTGACTCTGTAAACAAGTGGGTTCAAGAGTGTGAACATTTTGATGACTGTTGAGGTCTTGTGCCAAAATAACTTTGAAAAGAATTATGCCGATTTACAATATGTAAATTATATTCTCCATTTATATGCTCTCCATCTATAAGGTCCTTCCTTGCCAGTTTTATATATATATGTGTGTGTGTGTATATAGATATATATATGTAGTTTTTTTTTTTTTTTTGAGATGGACTCTCACTCTGTCACCCAGGCTGTAGTGCAGTTGCGTAATCTCAACTTACTGCAAACTCCGCCTCCTGGGTTCCAGTGATTCTCCTGCCTCAGCCTCCTGGGTAGCTGGGACTACAGGCACACGCCGCCATGCCCAGCTAATTTTGTATTTTTAGTAAAGACAGGGTTTCACCATGTTGGCCAGGCTGGTCTCGAACTCTTTTTTTTTTTTTTTTTTTGAGACGGAGTCTCACCCTGTCACCCAGGCTGGAGTGCAGTAGTGCGATTTTGGGTCACTGCAAGCTCCATCTCCCGGGTTCACGCCATTCTCCTGCCTCAGCTTCCCAAGTAGCTGGGACTACAGGCACCTACCACCACGCCTAGCTAATTTTTTGTATTTTTAGTAGAGACAGGGTTTCACCGTGTTAGCCAGGATGGTCTTGATCTCCTGACCTCGTGATCTGCCTGCCTTGGCCTCCCAAAGCGCTGGGATTACAGGCGTGAGCCACCACGCCCAGCTGTAATAGTTATATTAATTTAAAATTTTGTTTGGCTGATTTAGTAGCAAAATGAAAATTTAATATTTTAACTTCTTTTTTGATTAGAAAAATTGAGCCTTGACTAGGTACGGTTACTCACGCCTGTAATCCTAGCACTTTGGGAGGCTGAGGTGGGCAGATCACAAGGTCAGGAGTTCGAGAGCAGCCTGGCCAATATGGTGAAACCCCATCTCTACTAAAAATACAAAAATTAGCCGTGTATGGTGGCGGGTGCCTGTAATCCCAGCTACTCGGGAGGCTGAGGCAGGAGAATCGCTTGAACCCGGGAGGCAGAGGTTGCAGTGAGCTGAGATTGTGCCACTGTACTCTAGCCTAGGCGACAGAGTGAGACTCTGGCTCAAAAAAAAAAAAAAAAAAGAAAAAGAAAAAAGAAAAACTGAGCCTTATTTTATGTATTTGTTTACTGGTTATAGTTCTTTGAATGATAGCTTTATGTCCTTTTCCCATTTTTTCATTAGAGCCTTGTTTTTTCTTTTTCTTTTTTTTTTTTTTGAGACAGGGTCTTGGGCTGTAGCTCAGGCTGGGGTGCAGTGGTGCAATCATGTCTACTGCAGCCTTAACCTCCCAGGCTCAGTGGATCCTTCCACTGCAGCCTTCCCAGTAGCTAGGACCAGAGGCATACGCCATCAGGCCCAGCTAAATTTGCTTTTTTTTTTTTTTTGAGACAGTCTCACTCTGTTGCCCAGGCTGGAGTGCAGTGGCGCGATCACAGCTCACTGCAACCTCCACTTCCTGCATTCAAATGATTCTCGTGTGTCAGTTTCCCAAGTAGCTGGGATTATAGGCGCATGCCACCACGCCGAGCTCATTTTTTTGTATTTTTAGTAGAGACAGGGTTTTACCATGTTGGCCATGCTGATCTTGAACTCCTGGCCTCAAATGATCCACCCACCTTGGCCTCCAAAAGTGCTGGGATTACAGGTGGGAGCCACCGTGCCTGGCCCACTGGAGATAGAGTTTCGCTCTTGGCATCCAGGCTGGAGTGCAATGGTGCGATCTTGGCTCACTGCAATCTCTGCCTCCCAGGTTCAAGCAATTCTCCTGCGTCAGCCTCCTGAGTAGCTGGGATTACAGGTGTGTGCCACCACGCCCAACTAATTTTTGTACTTTTAGTAGAGATGGGTTTTCACCATGTTGGCCAGGCTGGTCTCAAACTTTTGACCTCAGGTGATTGGCCCACCTCGGACTCCCAAAGTGATAGGATTACAGGCATGAGCCACCATGACCGGCCTGGAGACAGTTTTAAAAAACCAATTAATAAGGATTTTTCTCATGTAATGAAGATATTAATGCTGTGGTCAGATTTGGTACAAATATTTTTCCTGGTCAGTTTGCATTTTAATAGTTTGATTTTTTATTTTTGACATTTTTAAAAGTTCATATAGTCAGATACACCACTTTTTTCTTTTTTTTCTTTTTTCTTTTTTTTTTGAGATGGAGTCTCACTCTGTTGCCCAGGCTGGAGTGCAGTGGCATGATCTTGGCTCACTGCAACCTCCGCCTCCTGAGTTCAAGCGATTCTCCTTCCTCAGCCTTCTGAGTAGCTGGGATTACAGGCATGCGCCACCACACCTGGCTAATTTTTGTATTTTTTAGTAGAGATGGGGTTTCGCCATTTGGCCAGGCTGATCTTGAACTCCTGACCTCAAGTGATCTGCCCGCCTCGGCCTCCAAGAATGCTGGGATTACAGACGTGAGCCACTGCTGCAATCGTAGCTCACCGTAGCCTCAACCTCCCAGGCTCAAGTGATCCTCCCACCTCAGCCTCCTGAGTAGCTGGAACTACAGGTGTGCACCGCCACACCCAGCTGATTTTTCTGTTTTGTGTAGAGATGGGGTTTTGGCATGTTACCCAGGCTGGTCTGGAATTCCTGGCCTCAAACGATCTGTCTGCCTTGGCCTTCCAAAGTGCTGGGATTACAGGTGTGAGCCTGTAATTACCGGCCCTAATTTTTTATTTTATTTTTTTTCCTGCCTCTGTGTCCCCCTACTCTTTCTAGTTGGTTAAAAAATACTGCTATAAGTGTATATTGATGTTTGCTGTTGCGTCTATGCCGAACATACTTAAGGCTGTTTCGTAACCAGCACAATCCGTGTCTCACACTATCCAGCCTTTCATCATCTCCCCACCACCCACTCACGCCTCCACCGGCTCTAGTGTGGATTCCATCCCAGTTACACCAACAAAACAGCTCTTGCTCTCTCTTGACTCGCTATTGGCCTTTCTCTTCTTTAGTGGATATTTCTCAAATGCATTTTTTTTTTTTTTTTTTCTGAGACGGAGTTTCACTCTTGTTGCCCAGGCTGGAATGCAGTGGCGTGATCTCGGCTCACTGTAACCTCCACCTTCCAGTTTCAAGTGGTTCTCCTGCCTCAGCCTCCCACGTAGCTGGAGTACAGGCACCTGCCACAATGTCCAGCTAATTTTTGTGTTTTTAGTAGAGACCGGGTTTCACCATGTTGGCCAGCCTGGTCTCGATCTCCTGACCTCGTGATCTGCCTGCCTTGGCCTCCCAAAGTGCTGGGATTACAGTGGTGAGCCATAGCACCTGGCCTAGAATGCATCTTAATTGAAGTATTGGAAGAGTTCAGGCCTTTTGTCAACATCCACCTTCCTATAAATCTCCCCAAGACAGGACTCACAGCTTAATGAGGAGCTTCTTGCAAAATACATACAAAGCTGGCCTTCTAGCTGGTTGAAGGGCTTGGTTAAATTGAGCGCAACACTAAGCCTAGGAGTGAAGAAACGACATAGGCAGGCTGGGCGCGGTGGCTCACACCTGTAATCCCAGCACTTTGGGAGGCCAAGGTGGGCGGATCATGAGGTCAAGAGTTTGAGACCATCCTGGCTAACATGGTGAAACCCTGTCTCTACTAAAAATACAAAAAATTAGCTGGGCGTGGTGGCGGGCACCTGTAGTCCCAGCTACTCAGGAGGCTGAGGCAGGAGAATGGCATGAACCCAGGAGGCGGAGCCTGCAGCGAGCTCTGATGGCACCACTGCACTCCAGCCTGGGCGACAGAGCGAGACTCCATCTCAAAAAAAAGAAAAAAGAAAAAAAGAAAAGACATAGGCAATTCTTTCTTTGTACTCTTTTCCAGTACTTAAAAAAAAGAGGTATAATTTTTGTACAATAAAATGCACGGATGTCAAGTGTACAGTTGGATGAGTTTTGACGTCTGTGTACACCTGTGTAATCAGCTGCCCAGTCCAGATAAAGAACATTCCCATCAACCCAGAAAGTTTCTTCATACCCATTTCTAGTGAATTTTTCCCAGCAGAGGCAACCACTGTTCTGAATTCTATCACAATATTTTAGTTTTGCCTGTTTTAGAATATTACAGATGTACAATCATTTAGTATTTACTTTTTTGTGTCTGGCATCTTTTCTCAACATAATAATTTTGAGATTTATGCATGTTATTGCATGTTTTTCTTTTTTATTGCTAAATAGTATTCTAATATATCAACTTTTTTTTTTTTTTTTTTTTTTTTTTTAGAGACAGAGTCTTGCTCTGTCACCCAGTCTGGAGTGCAGTGGCACCATCTTGGCTCATGCATCCTCTGCTTCCCAGGTTCAAGTGATTCTCCTGCCTCAGCCTCCCGAGTAGCTGGGATTACAGGTGTGTACCACCACACTCTGCAAATTTTTGTATTTTTAGTAGAGATGGGGTTTCTCTGTGTTGGCTAGGCTGGTCTTGAACCCCTGACCTCAGGTGATCCACCCTCCTTGGCTCCCAAAGTGTTGGGGTTATAGGTGTGAGCCACTACAGCCGGCCTCAACATTCATTTAGTCAGGCACAGTGGCACAGGCACCTGTGGTCCCAACTACTTGGGAAGTTAAGGCAGGAGGATCACTTGACCGACCCCAAGAGTTTGAGGTCTGCCTGAGTAATGTAGCGAGACCCTGTTCTCTAAAAATAAAATAAATAAATAAATAAATAAATAAATAAATAAATTTTATCAATAAAAAACAAGAAATCTTGTTCCATGCTAGTAATATAATGAGAGATTACCATATCTTAAAAATTTTATCTCATTATCTGGCAATGGAAACTGGATTATCTCTACTTTTGGAATACGGAGCATAAAGCTGATACCTACATGCTTGTACTTATCTTTTTCAGGAAATATGCTTTCACTGTTCTTGCGTACATTCCTAGGAATAGAATTGGTGGATCGTATAGTCAGTGTATGTTTAACTATAATTATGAAATACCACTAAGCTGCTATCCAAAGTAATTGTACCAACACTAAGAAAAGTCCAGTTGCTCTACTTCCTTGCCAATGTTTAATATTGTCAATCTTTTAAATTTAGCCATTCATGGGTGTAAAGTGCCATGTCACTCTGGTTTTAATTTGCATTTGCCTAATGTCTAATGATTTTTTTTTTTTTTTTTTGAGCTGGAGTCTCACTCTGTCGCCCAGGCTGCAAGTGCAATGGCACAATCTTAGCTCACTGCAACTTCTGCCTTCTGGGTTCAAACAATTCTCCTGCCTCAGCCTCTGGAGTAGCTGGGATTACAGGTGCCCACCATCATGCCTGGCTAATTTTTGTATATTTAGTAGAGATGGGGTTTCACCGTGTTGGCCAGGCTGGTCTTGATCTCCTGACCTCATGATCCGCCCACCTCGGCCTCCCAAAGTGCTGGGATTACAGGTGTGAGCCACCACACCTGGCCATGTCTAATGATTTTAAACACCTTTCCATGTGCTGATTCACTATTTGTTATCTTTTTTTTTTTTTTTTCATTCAGCAGATGTTTAGCTAGTCCTCAAATGAACTCTCTGGCAAAAGTCTTTGTTACTCTGACTTCATATATGAGAAAAGCGGTGCCCAGACAAGTTAGGAAGCTTTCTTAAAGCCACACAGCAGACAGCAGAGCTTGCATTGGATCTCAGGTCTGTCTGAACCCCCAACCCCCCAACCCTCACAACATACCCTTAGTCTCATGCCGCCCAATCTAACCTGCTAACAATGTGCCCAGCCTTCTTGTTCAAAGGGAGGAAATGATGATCTATTCACCTTAAGGCTCTAAACAGGATGACTTCAGTCCTAGCTGTCCAGACATCCTTCTGGAAGTTCTCTGTGCCCTTGATTTGCACTGCACCAGCAGTTCCCAGAACACTTTTTATTTTGTTAAGAGTTTTTTTTTATTTTTATTTTTTTTATTTTCATAGGTTTTAGGGGAACAGGTGGTGTTTGGTTACATGAGTAAGTTCTTTAGCGGTGATTTGTGAGATTTTTGCACCCATCACCCGAGCACTGTACCCTGAACCCAGTATGTAATATTTTATCCCTCCCCCCATCCCACCCATTCCCCCTGAGTTCCCAAAGTCCACTGTGTCTTTTTTATGCCATTGCATTCTCATAGCTTA